>NW_021160010.1:0-158944 GCF_000001405.40 Homo sapiens | reverse complement strand
TTTTAACCATGTTTTTATCCTGTTATACTTTTATTTTTAAGGGGAGATGTACTAGCCGACCAGTGCTAGGGTAATTAGCAGTCTCTCTGTAAATGTTTGGGAAATTGAAAGTGGAATGGGATTGGTCTTATGGTAATCTGACCCCACAAATGCTGTTTCTGTGTCTGTTACACAGAGGGATGCTTTGCCTCCAGTTAGAGATCTTCTGCATACAAATAAATGATATTTTGGGGTGTAAAGTCTGATAATCTGAGACAGGTCTCAGTTAATTTAGGAAGTTTATTTTGCCAAGGTTGAGGATACACCTATGACACAGTCTCAGAAAGTCCTGACGACAGGTGCGCAAGGTGGTCGGGGCACAGCTTGATTTTATACATTTTAGGGAGACGTGAGACAGCAATCAATACATGTAAGAAGTACATTGGTTCCATCCGGAAAGGGGGGGACAACTCAAAGCAGGGAGGGGGCTTCCAGGTCACAGGAAGGTGAGAGACAAACAGTTACATTCTTTTGAGTTTCTGATTAGCCTTTCCAAAGCAGACAATCAGATATGCATCTATCTCAGTGAGCAGAGGGATGACTTTGAATAGAATGGAAGGCAGGTTTGCCCTGAACAGTTCCCAGCTGGACTTTTTCCTTTGGCTTAGTAATTTGGTGCCCCAAGATTTTCCTTTCACAGAGAGGAGGGTGTCTATTTTTTTCTTCAAGGTGCCTTGAAATTAAGGCAAGAAGAATGGGGTGAAGCTGACTTCCAATCACCTTGGGTTTTTCCTCGGAAGGAAAACACGTTTCGTGGTTGTGGCAGAGCAGAGGCAGCGCGAATCCTGCAGTGACTGGCTGCATCCCTTAAAGATTGTTTTTTTTAAAGATTTTGTAGAATGTATTTGTTTTCCTTCCAAGAACTATTGGAATGTTTTCATGCACCCTTGGAACAGCCCTTGGAGACAACCCTAGGGAGGGAACAGTGTTGCCGGAGGCCAGCCTCCCGGGCACCCACACTCCCCTCGCCTGCCTAGGGGCCTACCCAGGTTCACTGGACACGGGCACCACAGGGCAGGAGGGTGGGGAAGGGTACACTTTCTCCTCGTTCCTAGCACATGGTAATGCACCCCAAAGCAATACTCGCCCAGAAAGCAGTTACTAAGCACATAGAAAGCTGAGGTAATTTTGTGAAGAAGAACACTGAAACAATAAAAGCTCAGCATTTGGAAGCAAGTTACGACAGCACTCAGCATAGGGGTAACATATTCACTCAGGCTACAGTACAAAATGTGCTTTTCATAGGATACACAGTTTTATGTCCATACGTATTTTAACATTTCTCTTTTTCTTTTTTTCTTTTGAAACAGGGTCTCTCTTTGTCACCCACGCTGGAGTGCAGGGGCATGATTTTGGCTCACTGCAGCCTTGACCTCCCAGGCTCAAGCGATCCTCCTGTCTTAGCTCCTCATGTAGCTGGGACTATAGGCCCCTATGCCTGGCTAATTTTTTGTGGAGATGGGATTTTTCCATGTTGTCCAGGCTGGTCTTGAACTCCTGAGCTCAAGCAATCTGCCTGCCTTAGCCTCCCAAAGTACTAGCGTAACAGGCATGAGCCACCATGCCCAGCCTATTTTAACATTTTTCTTGGTAATAAAAGTAACCATATTTTTATCAGATGCTTTTTTAAAGCCAGTCGATGTCGGGAAGGCTGACTTGTTTCATGGATACAGTGATGGGCAAACACCAGGTCAGAGCCAGTAGGGCGAGGCCAGGCTTCCCACTCAGGGTCCCCTGGGCAAGTTGCTTCCTGTCTCAAGTTGCACTGCCCTAACTGGTCAGTACAAAGAGCAGTACTTTGGGAGTCTTTGTAGTTAAATAGAAATGGAAAAGCACTGTTGCCTCTTGAGATCAAGGCCATACGTTTAAAAATATAGTGTGAAGTCAGTGTGATGGATCACACCTATAGTCCCAGCTACTTAGGAGACTGAAGCAAGAGGATTGCTTGAGGTCAGGAATTCAAGACCAACCTGGGCAACATAGCAAAATCCCACCTCTCTCTCTCTCATCTCTCTCTCTATAATATCTGCTACTATTATACACAATAATATATACTAGTGTATATACATATACATACAAGTAGATGTACATATGTGTGTGTGTATATATATGTATATATGTGTATATGTGTATATATTATATATGTGTATATATTTATATATGTATATATGTGTATATATATGTGTGTATATATACATGTATATATGTGTATATATATACACGTATATATGTATATATGTGTATATATACACGTATATACATGTATATATGTGTATATATACATATATGTATACATATATACGTATATACGTATATATGTGTATATATGTGTATATATATACACACACACACAGAGAAAATGTGATATATATACACACACATAGAGAAAATGTGAGCCTTACATTATTTTGAATTTTCCAGTGGTGCCTAAACCTGTGTGTACATCTACTGTCCTCATGCTTGTTGATTCGCTAGTGTCCATCTTCCCCTTTTAAGACAACAGGACACAGTTCACGGCTGTATGTTCTGCACCTAGAAGGGTGCCTGGCATGCAGTAGAATCTTAAATAGGTATTGAATAAGTAAAATGTTGGTAGTGTGGTGTTAAGTGAAATAGTCAATATATATAGGAAACTCACTAGTATATATTATTGTGTATAATAGTAGCAGATAGTATATATTATCATTAAGAAGCTAATAGTTTATAAGTTTTGACAGCATCACAGCCCCTTCCACTTCCAGCTTGATAATCAGGAGCCTGCTATTAGCAGAAGATAGCTGGGGAAGAATGCCTTCTAGAACCCACCTCTTCCCTCCATCTCCCCAAGAAGAGGAGATGTATGAATAATCTACAAATGGTAGGGAGGTTTATGTTTTTAAGCAGCACTTAGGTATTTTAAGATTTCTCTTTATATTAAACTGTAGTAAGTAGCAAAGGGGAAGATAATTTAAAGCAGTCCATTGGTCTGAGAGCTAAGTTTCAGTATTTTTGGCAAAGTTATGGCAAAGTTATAGAGCTTACATGGAATAAGAATATATGTCATGGTGTTGGGATAACTGAATATCTACATGCAGAAGAATGAAATTGCATCCTTACCTCACACCATATATAAATATCAACTTGAATGGATGAAGCATTTCAACATAAGATCTGAAGCTGTGAAACTACTAAAAGAAAACCTAGAGGAAAAAGCTCCATGACATTAATCTGGGCAACGATTTTTTGGATATGACCCCAAAAGCACAGGAAGCAAATTCAACAAAGACAAACGAGATTTCATCAAAATATTAATAAAAAGCTTCTTCATGGCAAAGGAAACAATCAGCAGAGTGAAGAGACAGCCTACAGATGGGAAATGTACCTGCAAACCACACATCTGATAAGTGGCTAGTACCAAGATATGAAAGAACTTCAAACAACTCAACAGTAAGAAAATAAATAGCCCAATTAGAAAGTGATCAAAAGAGCTGAATAGACATTTCTCAAAAGACGACAGACAAATGTCCAACAGGTATATGAAAAATGCTCAAAATCACTTATCATCAGAGAAATGTACATTAAAACCACAATGCCACATCACCTCCCACCTGTTAGAATGCCATTGTCAAAGACGAAAGATAACAAGTTTTGGTGAGGATGCAGAGAAAAGGGGACTCTTGTACCCTGTCGGTGGGAATGTAAATTACTACAGCCATGATGGAGAACAGTATGGAGATTCCTCAAAAACTAAAAATACAACCACAATATGATTCAGCAGTCCCAAAGGCAGGCATATACCCACAGGAATTGGAGTCAGTAAGTCTAAGAGCTGTCTGCACCCCCACATTCCCTGCAGCACTTGAATAGTGCCAATATAGCCAATATAGAATCAACCTATGTGTCCTTCAAGGGATGAATGGATAAAGAAAATGTGGCACATACACAATGGAATATTATTCAGACTTAAAGAAGGAGATCCTCTCACTTGAGACAGCATGGATGAACCAGAAGGACATTATATTAAGTGAAATAAGCCAACTGCACAAATACCAATACTGCACAATCTCACTTGTTGAAGCTAAAAGAGCTAAAAGAGTTGAAGTCACAGAAGCAGAGGATAGAATGGTGGTTACCAGGGACTGGGGTGGAGGGATTGTGGGGTGGGGCGGTGGGTAGGGGGGTGAGGTGCTGGAGAGATGTTAGTCAAAGGGTACAAACTTTCAGCTAGACAGGAAGAACAAGTTCAAGAGATCTATCGTACAACGGTGGTGACTACATTGTTAGTAACAATGTATTATATTCTTGAAAATTACTAAGAGTAGATTTTAAGTGTTCTCCTACACAAAATGGTATGTGAGACCATGCATATAATTAGTCTATTTAAACATTTCACAATATATGTATATTTCAAAACAACATGTTGTATACAATATATGCAATTTTGTCAATTAAAAAATTAAAAAATAAAAAAGAAAGCATTCGATTAATCAAAAGTCACATAGCAAAAGTAAAACATGACCTCTTCTATTTTTTTCAAATATTGACTTGACACTAAAACACTGAAAACAAAAAAGAATGAGTTGCCGATGGTGTGGTGTGAACCCTTTCCTTCCAGGTGGGCAGAGCCATCAGTGTGATGCGACCGCCTCAGATCTGGGTTTGGGTTGGGTGAAGGGGAGGGGCTCTGCTTCCCACTCAGTGTCCCCTGGGCAAGCTGCTTCCTGTCTCAAGTTGCACCGCCCTAACTGGTCAGTAAAAGGAACAATATCTACCCCCTAGAGACAAGAGTCAAGTGCTTATTAAAATGCCAAACGCGTAACAATCAACATTAGATCCCTGCCTCCATAGGGCAGTTATAAAACAGAGAACTTGCCAGGAATACTCCAGGACAGCAGATCCAGGTTCTATAATCGGTGTTGTCATCATAAAATACAGGTATTATGTCCCATGCATTTGCGTATGAAGCCAGGCTTGAGGGCCGACTGCATAAATATGAGCCTGTTATTAGGGACTTGCGAATCATGCGAGCAACACTGGCGTGCAAAACATATCCAGGGAGGAAACAAAGAGGAAATGTGTATGAACCCAACCCAAGATTAAATGTGGGTCATTCCTTGCTGAAAGCATGGAAGCTTCTGGGTATATGGAGAAAGAAAACCCTTCTGGGCACCCTCGTAAAGTTACTCACAAAGGAAATCACAGGAATGTGCTTGAAGCTCATTTTATTCTTGGCATTCCCAAGATATCAGAAATATCATTAACGCTGTTTGAGAAATTAGAGAACTGTAAGGAAGCCAAAGAGCGGTGTGGATTTTGCTCTTATCAACCCCTCCCTCACTGAGCAGACGGCTCCCTCACTGTCCTTCCTGGGGCCGGCCCTTCCGGCCGAAGGCCCCCAGGGAAGCCAGCCCAGTTCGCCCCTGACAGTATCAGGCACTTAGGATTGAATTTTCAAATTGCCCTCCCGTTTGCATCTGCATTGATGTTTTGCATTTGTTTGAGGCTTGCATCTGCTTCCAAACAATGAGCTGTAATTTTAAACCTGTTTAGCACGCATTTAACCCAGATACTTCTTTTGTGACCATTTCACTTGCATCTGGGTTTCAGTGCAAAGAGGTTGTAAGGAACAAAACAAGAGCAGAATGGTAGCAGCCAGCAGCTGCGTGCAGGCAGCACACCCCGTGCACACCCACGCGGGGCACGCAGCCCGTGGCACACCCTGTGCACACCCACGCAGGGTACACGGCCCGTGGCACACTCCAGGAACACCCACACAGGGCACACACGCAGTCTGGTGTGAAAGTCACCACTGCACAAAGCATGTGCCCATTCTGCAGCATGGAGGCTGCGTCCTGCGCCTGTGATTTTCGTAATTCAAGGCTGTGGGTCCCACCGGGGCTTGCTGCAGCTGGAAGCCTGACCGCAGACAGCACTAGGAAGTGCAGGCAACCTCCGCCCCATCCATCGGAAATGGTCTGGACCCCGCGGCGAGAGCGGGCACCTCCTTTTAGTACTCACGAATCACTCCCTTGGCAGTGCAGGTAAATGCCCCGGGAGATGCCAACGCGCCCTGACTCTGAGGCCTGACAGCTTCAACAGAGGACTTTTAGGTCCAGAAGGGAGGTGGGCAGCTGTTGGCTGAAACAGATCTTCCTTTCTTACTGGGCAGCGATTCCAGGTCAGCTTATTTGTTCTGACCCTGGCATTTCCTAAAGGAAGGGACTCCTGCTTTTGGTTCCATGTCCTGTTTTAGCAAGGCCATACCATGTCCACCCAGAACCTGTGGAATCTTTGCGGAGCCCATGGGTTTTGACTCATCTGCATGGCAGTGGTGTTTGGTTCCTAAGTCAGTTGTCACACTAGAGCTGGAGAAGGAGACACGTGGAGATGGGATCCGTCCAGCTCCGCCCCACAGACACTGTGTGGGGCCACCCTTGTACCCTGGGACACAGCTGCAGGGTCTTAGGGACCTCCTAACAGTTTGCGGGGTCTGAGTCAGCGAACTTCTCAAAACCATATTTGAACACATATTTATATAAAGTCTGAGTAATTTTCTCTGAAGGCATCAAACCTGACACAATGTTTATAATCTCAAAAATGGCATTTGACACAAGAGGATGCTTCTGACACACAATGGCTGGCTAGATGAAGGGCCAGAGATGCGTTCCAGACCTGATGCTGCTGCCCGATGACAACTGAAAGCACGGAGACCCACCCAGGATGGCTCTGTACCCCGAATGGCGCTGTATCCAGGATAGTCCTGTACCCATGAAGGCTCTGTACCCAGGACGGCTCTGTATCCGGGATGGCTCTGTATCCAGGACGGCTCTGTACGCAGGATGGTGTTGTACCCGGGACGGCTCTGTACCTGGGACGGCTCTGTACCTGGGACGGCTCTGTGTCCAGGACAGTTCTGTACCCGTGAAGGCTCTGTACCCAGGACGGCTCTGTATCCGGGACGGCTTTGTACGCAGGACGGTGTTGTACCCGGGACGGCTCTGTATCCAGGACAGTTCTGTACCCATGAAGGCTCTGTACCCAGGACAGCTCTGTACCCAGGACGGCTCTGTATCCGGGACGGCTCTGTACCTGGGACGGCTCTGTACCCGGGATGCCTCTGTGTCTGGGACAGCTCTGTATGAGGGATGGCTCTGTACCCGGGACGGCTCTGTACCCGGAATGGTGCTGTACCCAGGACAGTTCTGTACCCAGGAAGGCTCTGTGCCCGGGATGACTCTGTATCCGCGATGGCGCTGTACCCGGGACACCTCTGTGTCCGGGATGGCTCTGTATCTGGGACGGCTCTGTAGCCAGGATGGTGTTGTACCCAGGACGGCTCTGTCGAGAGGCCTTTATGTGACGACAGAGACGCCGTACATCTACCCCGTGCACGACGGTGGCCGCCAACCACACAGGGCTGTTGAGCACCTGAAACGTGGCCAGTGAGGAAGAAGAATTGAGTTTTTAATTGTATTTGATTTTGAATAAGTTAAATTCAAATTTAAATTTAAAAAGCCACATGTGGCTAGTGGCTACCATGTTGGAAAGTGCTGATAAGGTTCTTTTCTGTATGTTTATTGCTACCTAATCCCACCTCCCCACCATACGCCTAAACAGTTATGTAAAAATAAACACTCACATTGTGACCCTGACTCTCAGGAAAATAATTTTTATAAACTGAAATGTTAATTTTCTTTTTTTTCATTATCATTGGTATAGCATGAAAAATATCCCTAGAAACTTGAGATGAGAGAAACAAAATTCATCACTATCAATTTATTGCTTCTGCTGATGTCCTCAGGGGATAGATTTTAATTTACATGTTGTCATTTCTTTTAAAATGCTTTTATGGGACAATTACACATGCCATTTTTTTTTTCAGAAACCACAGATCAATATAAAGGCAATTAGCAATATTTTTATCCCTTAAAAATAAAATGTCAGGTTTTTGAAAAATGATTTTTAAAACATAAACATTACAAAATAAATTTTATTTGGATTTTGGCATATGATGTTAAAACAACCTCTTGCTGTCGTGAAATATGTCATTAAAAAGTCAGTGTTTGTGCTCCCAGTGTTACCCACAGCTCTAGGCATGGAAAGAATTCAATGAATACTTGCTGTAATCCTACAGCATTATTGACGTGCCAATATTGGTACTCTGATCTATTGTAATTGTCTATGTGCCAAATTCTGCATCTGTAAAATAAAATTATATTTGGACTTTCTGATGCAGTGGTGGTAAAATTACATCAGTTAATGGACACAAAGTACACTGATGCTGTTGGTATAGTTGATGCTGTTAGTATGGTTGATGCTGTTGGTATGGTTGATGCTGTTAGTATGGTTGATGCTGTTGGTATGGTTGATGCTGTTGGTATGGTTGATGATGTTGGTGTTGGTATGGTTGATGCTGTTGGTATAGTTGATGCTGTTAGTATGGCTGATGTTTTTGGTATGGTTGATGCTGTTGGTGTTGGTATGGCTGATGTTGTTGGTATGGTTGATGCTGTTGGTATGGTTGAGGTTGTTGGTATAGTTGATGCTGTTGGTATGGCTGATGTTGTTGGTATGGTTGATGATGTTGGTATGGTTGATGCTGTTGGTGTTGGTAAGTTCGATGCTGTTGGTATTGGTATGGTTGATGCTGTTGGTGTTGGTATGGTTGATGGTGTTGGTATGGTTGATGCTGTTGGTGTTGGTATGGTTGATGCTGTTGGTGTTGGTATGGTTGTTGTTGTTGGTATAGTTGATGCTGTTAGTATGGCTGATGTTGTTGGTATGGTTGATGATGTTGGTATGTGATGCTGTTGGTGTTGGTATGGTTGATGCTGTTGTATGGTTGATGTTGTTGGTTGGTTGATGCTGTTGGTGTTGGTTGGTTGATGCTGTTGTATGGTTGATGCTGTTAGTATGTTTGATGCTGTTGGTGTTGGTTTGGTTGATGTTGTTGGTATGGTTGATGATGTTGGTATGGTTGATGCTGTTGGTGTTGGTAAGGTCGATGCTGTTGGTATTGGTATGGTTGATGCTGTTGGTGTTGGTATGGTTGATGATGCTGGTATGGTTGATGTTGTTGGTGTTGGTATGGTTGATGCTGTTGGTGTTGGTATGGTTGATGCTGTTGGTGTTGGTATGGTTGATGTTGTTGGTATAGTTGATGCTGTTAGTATGGCTGATGTTGGTATGGTTGATGATGTTGGTATGTGATGCTGTTGGTGTTGGTATGGTTGATGCTGTTGGTGTTGGTATGGTTGATGCTGTTAGTATGGTTGATGTTGTTGGTATGGTTGATGCTGTTGGTGTTGGTTTGGTTGATGCTGTTGGTATGGTTGATGCTGTTAGTATGTTTGATGCTGTTGGTGTTGGTTTGGTTGATGTTGGTATGGTTGATGTTGTTGGTATGGTTGATGATGTTGGTATGGTTGATGCTGTTGGTGTTGGTATGGTTGATGATGCTGGTATGGTTGATGCTGTTGGTGTTGGTATGGTTGATGCTGTTGGTGTTGGTATGGTTGATGCTGTTGGTGTTGGTATGGTTGATGTTGTTGGTATAGTTGATGCTGTTAGTATGGCTGATGTTGTTGGTATGGTTGATGATGTTGGTATGTGATGCTGTTGGTGTTGGTATGGTTGATGCTGTTAGTATGGTTGATGTTGTTGGTATGGTTGATGCTGTTGGTGTTGGTTTGGTTGATGCTGTTGGTATGGTTGATGCTGTTAGTATGTTTGATGCTGTTGGTGTTGGTTTGGTTGATGTTGGTATGGTTGATGTTGTTGGTATGGTTGATGCAGTTGGTGTTGGTATGGTTGATGTTTTTAGTATAGTTGATGCTGTTGGTATGGCTGATGTTGTTGGTATGGTTGATGATGTTGGTATGGTTGATGTTGTCAGTTTGGTTGATGCTGTTGGTATAGTTGATGCTGTTGGTATGGTTGATGCTGGCTTCTTCTCTAGACTATGGGACCCTCTATGGGGCCACAACACGCTCACATCTGTAGCATTTCGGCTACTCAAATGGCTACTCAAGATATGTCTGCAAATGACCAAATGACAACAGGAACAAATGAATCAATAATGGGGCAGATGGGGAGGGAGGCATGAGTGGCACATTATAGAGAAGGTGAGGTTTTGTTGGGTCCTTCGGGAGGGAAGGCAGGCTGGGTTTCTCTGTCTCTGCATGGTGGGCGATGGGCACTCTGCATGGTGGACGATGGGCACTCTGCATGGTGGGCGATGGGCACTCTGCATGGTGGACGATGGGCACTCTGCAGGGTTGGCGATGGGCACTCTTCAAGGGCTGCCCTGTGCGCTGTGGGGCATTTAGCAGTACCCCTGCTCTCCACCCAGGCATACTTCCCCAGCTGTGACAACTGAAAATGTATCCAGACATTGCCAAATGTCCCCTGGAGAGACATTTGCATTCTGTGGTTTGGGTTAGGGCTCTAGTTACAAAGTTCCATAGATTTTGAGGGTCTGTCCCAACCCTATTTTGCCAAAGAAATTTTGCAGAACTGAGGACTTTCAGGAACTGTAGGATGTTTGTGGTAGAAATGCCTCAAGGAAAGGCCATACCATTAACAACGATTTCTCTCTGGGATTGAGGTTAGGAATGGTGTTTTGTTCTTCTTTAGGATTTTTCATAAATTCAAAATGTTCTACACACATACCAAAAAAGCCTGCATAAAGTTTTATTATAATAATACATTATAGGTGTATAAAATGTACTGAATTTATTAAATTCCATTGAGATAGAATTCTCTTCGCCCTCCCGATCAAACCCTTTAGATATCTTCCAGCCCGACCCAGTTCTTTGGGTCCTCAGGGCATCATTATGAAGTGGCAATAATTAGCTATAAATGTAAATAAGGAAAGCTGAAGCGGACGCCCCTCCATCTGAACCGACGCGGTTCCCTGGGTTCTGCACTGACAGGGCCACTCCGCTGTGACCCTGCACTGGCTGAAGTGCTCTTCGGGGCTGAATGCCTCATTCTACCATCCACAGGGCCTTTGAACAACTGCTTTTAAATGTGATTGTTGAATTAATGCTTGTACCAGGTACCAGAGTGCAGAGAGCTGCCGCTGACGCAGTGCTGGTCACTCTGCACCCACTTGAGTGTTGGTAGGTATGTGTCAGTGTGAGATCAAAGGCCCAGCTCTTCCCCACCCCTTTAATTTGAATAGGAAACACGGCACCGGCAGTCAAAATCCCAAGGACAATCAGCACACGCGTGCTCCTGCGATGGGTCGGCCGCCCTTGGCAGCCAGAGGACACATTCCGGGTTTGACCCCCTTCCCTGTCCCTGTTGGCTCAGGAGGGTTATTTTAAAAGGTACGAGAATGGAACCCACTAAATATCAGGGACTAACCCAGCACAGAAAGCTGGGGAGGAGCCCAGCGGAGAGGCAAAGGGGGCAAAGCTGGAGTGAGCTCTTCATGGACCACATTCAGATCAACCACTTTTAGAATCCACACGATACCATCTTTTCTTCAGGCTCTTAGACAACAGTTATTCCTTAAAACTGAAGAATAGGTTTCCTAAGAATAGCAAAAGAGACAAAGAGGCCCTTGCTGGAGACGCTGTTCAATAATAAGGTAATAAAATGTTTGAATGCTGGTGTCATCTAAGGCTGCTAATAACATAGAATGCATTCCTCTTTATTTTATTTTTATAGGCCAGATAAATTAAATTAAACTAGCTCCTTGCTCAACAGCTTGACACGCATTTTTAATAATAGCTCACTGCTCTCCTTCAGTAGCATGCCTGGCTCAAGGGTGCCTGGGTATGGAGGTCCCCCTTCCAAAGTTGGGTGTGCATGGCTGGCAGAAGGCTGCGTAGACAAGGGCTGGAGAAAAGGGGAGGAGCTATTCACGTCCGACCCAATGCTAGGAATGCTGGCGGTGCCTGGGCAGTATGCCATGGCTACGTTCGAGGCTGAGTCCATATGGCATAGGACACTCCCTGGGACATGTGGGTTTGAGTGGTGTGGCCAACACGGTGCCCGCCTTGGGGAGACCCCCGCCCTCAATTCTAACACAAGCTAGAGAACAGGGGCATGCAGCCTGGCCAAGACTTTGAGTTAACAAACTCTGTTTAAAAACATCTTCACTTCTCATTGGTAAACACCGTGTCTACTAATATATATTGAGAAAATTAGTGTTTTCATGCCATGTTTTCTGGTACATTACCTAAACTCAATGCACAGCTCACACTTGGCGTCTCGTTACTAGATAGCTGTGGATCACAATGTTTCACCACCAAGTACGGGCGTCACAGTAATAATTTGACAGGTGATGAAAAAAGAATAAGCGCTTTGCTGCAGTTTTGAGTCTGTTCTCCACAGTCTCAGTCACTGGAGTGGAAGGAATGAAGACGCACAATTTAAACAGTATGCTTACATGCATCCAACAGAAATTTTCCTGTGGAGATTAATTGAATTACACCTATAAAATATTTATATGGTATACTTATCAGTCCAGAGATGATTTTGAACAACTAGGAGAATGTTTTCACTACTAATAAACGATCACCACCACAGCTGGGCAACACTGAATGATATCCTATGAGCCGAACACTCTAATAATTTTTGCAACTGTACTCTTTGAGACACTCCATATAAAGTGTAGCTTCACGGAAGTACATTAACTCCACAATCTCAGATTCTAAGTGTAAAGAGATATTGACGCGAGACCTGTCACATCAGGCACTCCCGTGGTAGCACAGCGATAAACGGTCTGGGTCTGTCTTCCCTTAGCTTTGCGGTGGTCAGTTGTGTTATCTAGGGCAAGCTTCTGGTCTCTCTCAACCTCAGTTTCTTCCTTTGTGGACTGGGATGCTAGGCTCAGAGACAGACTGGAACTGAGCAGGAAAACCCCACAGAAAGCAGTACTTGGATGTGAGGATGGTTTAGGCCAGATGCAGGCCTGTGTCAGCCCTGGCTCACAGCGGACAGGTGTAATGTCATAGAACCACACGTCATGCATGGCACACACAGAAATCATCCGTGCTGATGATCATAACGCATCACTGGCACATTCAGCCTGACAGTTGAAGCACCATGGTGGAGGGTGATGGTAAATTTGTTCAGAAAGGCCTGGTTATCGAGATCCCTGTGTGGCACCGAGTTTGTGCTGGTGAGAGGATAGACAGCAGGGAGAGCCATGCCAGGTCTGCGTGTAGAATGTCCACGGTGAGCCAGAGGGCAGGGGGTGCTGACTGGGGGCATTGGATTCATGGAGAGATCAGGGAGGACTCCTTCATGGGAGGACCCTGGAGCCCAGGCTCGTGGGCAGGAGGGAGTGAGTCTGAGGTGGGCTGGCCTTGACTAGGGCACGGATGGGTGGCCAGAGCCACTTGGCGAAGAGGAGATGGCAGGAGATAAGCCAGGAGGGAAGCCGACCGTGCAGACTGCGTGGGTCACAAGCCAGTGCTGCGGATTTTGCTTTTAATCCGAGTGGAATGTGATGTCGCTGCAGGATTTTGAATCAAGGGAAGTGCAACGTGTGCAGGGAGAGGGGTGACTCGAGCCTCTGCGAGGGGCCGGCAGCTCTGTGAAGTCCAGACCACGGACCCCACAGAACACACGGGTGGGTCAAGGTGGGCAGACAGCAAGGCCGGGCACTGTGAGGATGGGAAGGTGCAGGAGAGCAGTGGGAGCGGGGCTCACTCAGGCGGGAGCAGGGCTCTGTTTTTGTTTTGCAGACACAGCACAGCCTCTGCCTTCAGGCAATTCGGGGAGAGGCGGATAGACGCGCTGCCCGGGACCCAAGGATGGGCCAGGGCCCGGGTGGGCAGGCGCGGGCGGAACGGGGAGCCGAGGCTTGTGGCACGCACCCAGCAGGCATGGGGGCAGTGGAGGCTTAGGGGGTCGCACTCAGAGTGGTATCTGGCACTTTCTAAGAGAGGGGGCCCAGCGAGCAGGGGATACAGAGAGTGTTCCAGGCCTGAGTGAGCACGTCCCATGAGCAGTGTGGATGCAGCAGGCACAACCATGTGGGTAGAGGCCGCCTGTAGGGCCAGGTGATGGCCAAGTGCCCGCTTTCCTCTGAGTGATCTGGAAACTTCCCTCACTCCCGTTGGTGGATGGGACAGGGATGGCAGGGATGTTGGATTCAGAAAAATGTGGGGTCCGGCCCCAAGCATAACTGGCAGCCACAGCCAGTTTTTGTGGCAAATCTGAGGCGGCGAGCGATGCCGGAGTCCCTCCCGGGAGGCCACCGAATGAGTCCATGCCACTCCTGCCTGGGCCTGCCCCGTCCCGGGTGCAGCCCCCTCTGCATCCCACCCCCTAAATCTGGGAAAACCTGGCCCCTCCTCTATGTCCCCTCCTGTCCATGGGGGTCCCTTGAGGCGTATGGGAAGAAACCCCTGAACTCTTACTGCTCTCCCCTTCTGATGGCCGCTACCCCAGATTCCACCGTGAAAGTGGTGGCCGTCACGCCCTCAGCATCTGTCCCCACTCACACCACAGCCCACTTAACAGACAAGAGTCCGGTTCGGGGCGGGAAGGATAGGATAGCAGAGCCCACTGGGCAGAGGTGGCACAGCGGTGACCGGGCAGCACAAGGCAAGCAGCTCAGAGCAAACATGCCTCGGGGGGCCTGAAACGGGGCAAGAACCCAAATGGTGCGCAGGACGCTGTGTGGCTGCTAATGGGTCAGCCCTTGGCAGGTATTGTGCTGAACTGTGAACCCAGGGGCACGTCCAGGTCAGAGGGCACGCACCACCCCTCGGGCTGGGCCTTCCTTCCCCGGGGGCCCCAGGGACTGGCCCTGAGTGGGGAGGGGCTGAGTCTGCTGCTGTCCTTCTGTCCAGCTGGACGGCTCGGGCCTGGCTTCCTGCCTTCTTCCACCTCAGGTTCAGGAGTGGTGGGGAAACTCTGGGCATGGGTGCCAGTGCCCTGGGCCCAGCATGGAGAGGAGTCTGTGTGGGGAGAGGCCCAACTGTCTGCTCACCAGCGCGTGTCTGTGCTGACCCACATGCCCCAGAAACTCTTCTGCCTTCCTGGTCGGTCAGAGGCTGGGCCGTGGGCCATGTGCTCTGCCGAGATGGCAAATGTCTCACAGGTTACATCCCAGGTCCCCCGGAGGATGATGGGCCAGAGGAGACCTTCCAGGCACATGGGACTGGAGGGGGGCTGGGGTATGAAGAGGGACAGGGGCTGGTGCTACGGGGACAGGGAGGGCCCAGGGGGTCCCCCTCCTGCCTACCTCACTCCCTCCGTGGGGTCTCCAGGGTCACATCTCTGACCCTGACAGCTCCCGTGAGCTTCCTCGTGCGCCCTCGGGTCTGAGACGCCTGCCTCAGGCCATGCTCCTGCCTCTCCCTTTAAGTTTGTCTTACAAGTAAACAGTAGAGGCAGACTTGGAGGATGAGGCCAGGGGTTCCTCTCACACAAATTCTATGTTGCAACCACTGAAATCTGAGTTTTAGTAAGCAAAACAAAAGTGTATGCTTTTGGGGTTCACTAAAGCTATTTTTTTAAAAAGTGCTCCGAAGACTATAAGCACACCTGCCTCTGAGGCGCCCCCCTCACTCCCCCGCCCCAGGGAAGGCTGGACCTCAGGGCAGCAGGAGGAAGGGTGCCTGGGGATTTGGATCCCGGCTCTGCCCTTCCAGGAACACTGTCTCTCCCTCTGCCTCTTCTCTTTCCTCTCTTCTCTCCTCTCACCTCTCTCCTCTCTCCTCTCCTCTTTCCTTCCCCGCTCCCTTCCTCCTTCCCTCCCTCCATTTTACAGAGTCTCACTCTGTAGTCCAGGCTGAAGTGCAGTGGCGCGATCTCAGCTCACTGCAACCTCTGCCTCCCGGGTTCAAGCGATTCTCCTGCCTCAGCCTCCTGAATAGCTGGGATTACAGATGTACACCACCACACCCAGTCAATTTTTGTATTTTTAGTACAGACCTGGTTTCACCATGTTGGCCAGGCTGGTCTTGAATCCCTGACCTCAGGTGATCCACCCGCCTTGGCCTCACAAAGTGCTGGGATTGCAGGCGTGAGCCTCTGCACCCAACCATGCCTCACATTTCTTATTCTTGGGTGACTCCGAAAGTCAATTCTGCAGAGATGCTGTAGACTTATATTTTGTGGTCACATATTTCTAGACACAAACCCTAGAAAAGCCTTCTATTTTTCTATTCATTTTTCTGCCCTGTTTACAATCACTTTTACAGCATGTCCCATTGCAGCAGCCCTGGGCCTGTGCTGGGTCCCTGGTGACCAGACTTGCAGGATAGTGGAGGCTCCCACCCTCCAGAGGACCCAGACACACCTACGGCCTCCCTGCATCCAACAGTGAGCGCCAGAAGGAAGGCCTGCCTGAAGAGGCATGATCTGCTGAAATGATGCCTGTTTTTCCTGAGCTTTTATCATCAGCACTGGACCTGCACCCCCTCCTTCCCCCAGAACGGTGGTCTGGAGAGTGAGGGGTAATTGGCTCCCTGAGTCTCTCAGTTAGGACCTGGCCAGCGGGGAAGCATAACGCTGTTCGCACTGCAACACATATGCTACCTCCAAGACGTGGGCGCTGCCACGGCCGCGGGACTGTGCTGACATCTGGACAAGGGTGCTTCACAGTGGCCCTTGAGAGATGGGCCTCTCGTACGGCCGCCTGGGTGAGTGCCCTGGGCGCGCAGACAGCACAGGCTCTAATTGAAAACCGCTTTCTTTACAAAGGTCCAGATGAGACGGCATTGAGGCCACACGTGGGCAGAGGACAGCACCTGGGGGCCAAGCGGGGCTCAGACGTGCCTTTCTGTGGTAGAGGGGGGAGGCGTCGGGGTTCCAACCCTGTTTACCAGGAGGGAAAAGATCAAGCTGAATGCTGGCGGAATTTGAGGCTATTTATGGGCCACTGCGACCCCTTGTGCCATCTCCTACTGTTCGATCTCTGTAAGAGCCTGGCCCGTGGTTCTCAGAGGAGGCCTTCCAGACCTGCAGCATCAGCATCACCTGGGAACTCATAAGCTCAGCGAGTTCTTCCGTTGCACCTGCGTCCTCTGGATGGCGACTCAGGGATGGGACGTAGCCCCTGTGTCTCAGCAAACCGTGCTGGGTGTTCTAACAGGCGCTGCAGTTTGAGAAGCCCTGATCTGTGGGTGGAGGTGGTGGTGGGTGAGGAGAAGACATGCTCTCTGGAGGGAACAGGAGTGATGTTTTAATCAGAACAGTCTGTCTACACCAACAGACATGGGGCCATAGGGCAGACAGTGTGCAGGTCTCTGAAGCCACAGAACAGGAAGCACAGCCTCATTTTGAGCATATTTTCCTGGTGACCAGAGCCATGGGCTCTCTCTAGGGCCTGGGAACAGAACCTGCTGTGGGCTGCTTGGGGAACCAAAATGCTCACAGAAGCCCTGCTGGAAACTGGTGTGCTGGGGGGAAGGAAGGTGGCAGCCACCTGGCAGCCTCGCCTGCTCCGGGGGCTGCGGGACCCTCCCTAGCACCTGTTCTAACCGCCTGCGCACCTTGCCGTGCGCCTAGGAGGGTCCTGTCCCTCTGGGCTCATGTCCTTGTCCTTACACTCAGGCCTGGACTCACTTTCTGGTGTTCTCCGGGATCCCAGGGCCCATCCAGCATGGGAGAGGCCTGGACTCAATTTTTGCTCCAGGATCCCAGGGCCTCTCCAGCGTGGGGGAGGCCTGGACTCATTTTCTGGTGCTCTGGGGTCCCAGGCCCCATCCAGCATGGGGGAGGCAGATCCTGCCCTACTCATGACTTGAGCACAGCTGTTTCCTCAGTTTACCCATCAGATCCCCACTAGCCTTGGCTTAAACAAAGATGCTCCCCCACACGGAGGCCGGCTGAGTTCTAGGGTGCCTTCCCCCATTACATCCATGATGCCCAGGTGGGGCTCCCTGCTCTGTCACCCCCAGAGTGTAGCTGGGGTCACCCAGCAGCAGTGAGGCTGCCCTGAGCCGGTGGGAGGGACAGGACCTGGACAGCAGCCCCAGCCTCCCCTCACATTCAGGACCTGCCGGCGTCCCGGGTACCTGGCAGAGCCTGGGGTGGGCGAAGCTCCCGGTGTGGGGCTCCTGTACCCCTCGCACAGTCAGGGACGCCTGTCCTGTCCCTTCAAGTTTGGGGCAATGGAGCCAGCACAGAAAGAGAAGTTGGTCCTTGTCTGACAAGTGTGACCCAGTGTTCCCGGGCCGATGCTGGTCCTCATCACGGACTGGGATTGGCCCCTGAGCACACTGAGGATGAGGCGGACATGCCAAGGGTCACATGAACACAGGCCCCTGCTGCACCTGGCCCGCAGCCCTGCTCCCCGGGAACTGTGCACAGCGGTGACTGTGGGTGAGGGGACCCGGGAGAGAAAGAGCACCCAGCCGCATCTGAGACCCAGACCCCAGTAATTCCTGCAGAGCTCCTGTGTTGTCCTCGGTTGGACCAAGGCAGGAACTCAAGGGGGCAGGACTCAACACTATAACTCTCTTTTCAGGTAAGAAGCAGAGATAAAGGAGGCGGCGAAATTACCTTTCTGGTTAAATATATATTCCAAACAGCATTACATGGAGCATGAATGCACTGAAACTATCCGAGTGGAATTTTCACTCAGACACCTACATACAGAATACAGCTTAGAGGGGCCGACGCCCTGCTCAGGGAAAGACAGTTTTCCTTGTTGCCCATTTAAGACCAGGAATAGCACTACAGCCCATTACACATACATCTTGACTTCTTTTCCACCTCATCTTTTACCATTTCCAATTATTGCGAAGTCCACACAGATAATTAGGGAATAGGGAATAATTAGATAATGAGGTGAAAATCAGTTAATTTTTTTTTTACCTAATTGCAAAAAAAATACCAGTTTCTGGTCTTGAATTATTCATACTCATCAATTGTATGAATGCTGGAAAATGCCAGAAAGTGTTGGGAGGCCGAGGCGGGCGGATCACGAGGTCAGGAGATCGAGACCATCCTGGCTAACACGGTGAAACCCCGTCTCTACTAAAAATACAAAAAATTAGCCGGGCGCGGTGGCGGGCGCCTGTAGTCCCAGCTACTCGGGAGGCTGAGGCAGGAGAATGGCGTGAACCCGGGAGGCGGAGCTTGCAGTGAGCCGAGATCCCGCCACTGCACTCCAGCCTGGGCGACAGAGCGAGACTCCGTCTCAAAAAAAAAAAAAAAAAAAAGCCAGAAAGTGCCAGAAACTCAGCATATCCTTTCATTGTTTTTTTAAATTGCCAAATTTTTTTTAATCAGTTATACATTTAATGTACATAGGTTAAAAGCCCAGGCTGGGTGCAGTAGTACATGCCTGTTGTTCGAGCTACTTGGAGGCTGAAGTAGGCGGACTGCTTGAAGCCAGGAGTTTGAGGCTGTTGTGATCCATGATCTCGCCACTGCACTCCAGCCTAGGCAACAGAGTGAGACCCTGTATCTAAAAAAGTAAAAAACAGGAAAATAAACCTCCATTAGGTTCTACTCTTTCTTCCCTTCTCACTACTGCACTTGACTAGTCTCAAACACAGGCTGGGCGTGGTGGCTCATGCCTGTAATCCCAACACTTTGGGAGGCCAAGGTGGGTGGATCACTTGAGGTCAGGAGTTTGAGACCAGGCTGGCCAACATGGTGAAAACTGTCTCTACTAAAAATACAAAAAGTAGCTGGCATGGTGGCACATGTCTGTAATCCCAGCTATTCGGAAGGCTGAGGCAAGAGAATCACTTGGACCCAGAGACAGAGATTGCAGTGAGCTGAGATTGTGCCACTGCATTCAACCCTGGGTGACAGAGCAAGACTCATCTTACACACACACACACACACACACACACACACACACACACACAAAACACAAAAACCCACCAACAGATCTGCAGGGCAGTGTCCATTCCAGTCCCCAGAGGTAATCCACTTAAAAGCTAAAACTGCACCTGTTTATCCCCACATTTCTAAATAGCATGCTTATATTTCTATTTGCTGACTTTATTTTGTTCAGTTTTGGCTACTGACTTCATGTAATGAAAAATAAGAATTCAGCATCTCTGTACCATGTCCCTACTTGTTATCAAGGTCTTTCCTACCCCACACACCCACTGCTGTTTGTAATGTCTGAACAGATCAGTATTCCAGTAGATCAATTAAATGTCATGACATTGTATAAATATCACTCACAGCTGAGACATGTAGTGTACTATAAATACAGTTTCCTCCTTAAATAATTTTTTTTTTAGTTTGTTTTTCCTGGACTTAATTGCTTTTTCATTGGATTCATTTTTCATATACATATCACTAACTCAGCCCTAAATTCTCTGTGAGAATTGTAAATCTCCTCTCCAAATGCAAAAGGCCCTTTGTGTTTTCATCATCCCTGGGAGATGCCCCTCCTGCAGCCTCCCTTCCTCTTCAGCACCGGATTCCTTAGCTTCCCTTCCCTTTCACTCTGGGGATTCCCATTGCCTCTTTCCTTTTGGATTCTTGGTTTCTTGAATCCCAAGTCTTTGTCTCTCATTTTGTGGGGTACATCTCTCAGAGCCTCACTGAAAGAGTGAGACATGTGTTTATTGAACAATTGTGTGTCTGAATTGTCTCGATTGATAGTTTGTTCATTTGGGTTAAAATTCTAGTAGAAAACTATTTTTCCCATAAAATTTTGAAGACAATTTTCCATTACCTCCTGGCTTCAAATATTGCTGTTGAGAAGACTAATAAACCTTGATTCTAGTCCTTTACTTGTTTTTAAATCTCTGGAAGTGTTTAGAATCTTTTTTTTTTCTTTGAGTCCATAAGTCTCCCTAAAAAGGAATCCTTCATCTTCCTGCCAGGGATCTGACGTGCTTTCAGCCAGTGACCTGGGAAACCACCCAAAAAAAGAGGCAGCCCCCGCATCCTGTGACAACAAAGAAACCCTGAATCCTCTTGCCCTTGGCTCTGCCCAGTGCCCTCAGTCTGGAGTCTCTTCCCCATCCTCCAGACTCCACCTGAGGTGGGCGTGGCAGGCTACCTGGGGGTGGAGGAACACCTGGCCAAGCACCTGCTTCTGAAATAGTCTTGCCACTCCCAGTCCCGCTATCCACCTGGTACCCTGGAAGCCCTGTCCCTTACCCTCCTTGAGAGCCCAGGATAAATGCACATCCTCGGTCATGATGGCCTCTGCAGCTCAGCTCTCAGCAGCTCGCCTCAGCTAATTCAGTCCCTCCTCATGCATCTGTTGTGCAGCTTCCAAAATGTGTTCCTATTGCCTCTTTCCCACAGCTGTCTGTCCTGCGTTTGTGTCCTTTAAAAAAAAACCTCCTTACTATTATTTTATTGAGGCCTCAGGAGACAGTAGCAGGTGAATCAGGAAGTCAGCCTCTGCTGCGCTGAGGACTTCCTGGGTTTGGATATGACCTTGACGTGGCCGTTCTGCCACCTGCCCCGACATTACAAAGGAGGGAAACACAGGGGCCATTCATGCCCACTGGCGATAGGTATGTGCCTCAGGGTGGCATGGAGCAGCAGCCGGGACTCCAGGTGCCTGAGGTTACACAAGGAAAACCCTAGGATGTCACCTGCCACTCCCAAAGATGATGCCTGCGGCTTCTCTGGGGGATGGCTGAGGAAACCAAAGGGTCTCCTGTGAGCTGTGAGGACATTCCTTCCAGCATCCTCTGGGGGTGCTTCCTGCCTGGCTAAGAACCGCCCCCACACAGTGTGGTGGATGCCATCAGGGGTCAGCGGCCAGCCTGAGGTCTCAGCCCCCAGGAGCACCCAGCCTGCAGGATGCAGCACCACCCATAGAACAGGCTGCTGCAGGGACACGGGCCCTGAGCCATTCCCGGAATTCAACTCAAACTCAAGCAAGGGAGCTGACACCGGAGACTTGAGACCAACAGAACGTTCTCCAGAAGCGCCTTCCACTCAGGCCTGGGGGCGGGGGGATGGGGGGGCAGCGGTCCCCAAGCATGGGAGGAAGGTGACGGGCTGGGCCCGGATTCCGTCCTAGCCATCAAGGGAGGGCCCGCACCTCTTGCAGGGGTGAGGCTGACACATTGTAAGTGGGGCTTCAACTGAGGGGAGCTGCTGCTTCTTACTGGCTCCACAGAGGCACCGGCCAGGTGACCACCGGATGCTTGTAGGAACATGGACATGGGATTTTACTAGAAAAGGAGGCCCAAGCTCTGTGGCCATCAGACGTTCTTTTTGTCCAGACATTACAGCGGCTGCTCGGGGCATGTTTGCTGCCTGTGGCTGTGTCTGGCAGGCAGAGAGGGCTCTGGATACATGATGTGTGCAAGGCTGACACACCAGAGCCGTGGGAAACAGGCATGGCTGGAGGGCAGGTGGAATGTGGGTTGACAGTGTGTCCCGTCAAAACTGCAGGCCGCTTTAAAAACCACTTTGTAGGTGGATGTGCAAAGATTTCACAAAACACTGCTATCCGATGGACGCTAAGAAGGCCTGGGGATCGCCTCCCCTACATGGCCCCAAAGGGCCGCCTCAGTTCAGTGAGCATCTTTCCACTTAACACTTCAGGGTTTAATGACCCAAAGAATAGAAATTGATGAGGAAAGACGTGCCAGCCCTCATCTTAAGATACATTTGTCATCACAATCATTACTCTTTCCAAAACGTTCTCCCTCAGGGAGGAAAAGTACAATTGGAAAATAGAACTTTTTCATCCCCGTCTTTCAATGCACACGCCTTCCTTCACCTATGAACTCACTTCACTGGCAGTGTGTGCCAGGTGGGGGATGAGAGTTGCAGAGCGCAGCCCCTCCTGGGCGGCCCTTGGCCAGGGTGGGTCTGCTGGAAGCCCCCATGGACACAGATGGATGCCCCGGGGGTGGGGGGAGTGTGCAAAGAGCCGTGCAAGGCCCCGGTGCTCAGCACACCCTGGCGTCCTCACACAGGCTCCAAGGGCTCAGCCTGCGGAGTGGGCTTGGGCTGGGCCCCCTTTGCTCTGCCCAGCTGCCCCGGGCTTGTGTTCCTCCTGCCATCACGCCTGCTGGCTCCTGTCAGCACAACGACCCTTTCTGCACTCTGGGGTCTGCAGATCCCGCCTTCGAAAGCCCCAGGAGGTGTCTGCATTCCAATTCAGTGTCCCGGGGCTGAGCTGGGGCTTCTGCTGAAGCCACTCATGGGAGGGCCGGCCAGGTGGCTGAGCCAGCTCTCCGAGCTCCTGCCCTGAACTCAGCCCACCCCTGTTTCCTCTGCCCCATGAGACCCAGGGTCCATGATACCCAAGCCAGCATCATCCTCAGAGCACTCGCTAATCCCCCACATCTCCACGCCTCCCTCTGCTCATCCCATGTTCATGGGCGAAGCCAGCAAGTGGCCAGAGATCATGAAGAAGAACGCCCTGGTCATTAGAGGATGGAAGAGAAGCTCTTCTGTGGGTTGGCTGGTTTGCTCATTCACTAGTGTTTGCAGAGGGCCCTGGGCCGGCCGTGTCAGGGCCATGTGGTGAAGAAAACACACAGGACGTCTGTTCTCCTGGGCCTCACAGTCCAGGGGACAGGCAGCTGTCAGGTAGAGAGCTGCAAAGCATGTATATGCCACAAAGACCCAGCAGGCTTTGGAACCGCCAGACCTGGGCTCCCACGCCACTATGGCCACTCACCTCCTGAGAGTCTTGGGGCAATCTGTGCAGCTTCTTGAGGCATTTATTTTCCCATCTGAAAAGGAAAAACAATAATGCCACGTTTACCAATGTTATGAAGATTAAGGGGGAGGATGTAGTTAAAACGTAGGGTTACTTAGCACAGAGCCCAGAGAGGGCAAGCGCGTGAAAATGGTACCAATGTCAGGAGCAGTGATTGTTACTCATCAAGCGTGTATCTGCCACTCTGTGCATCCTAATTCCACGAGGGATTATGAAAATAAATGAACATTCGGAGCTGTAACTGACTACTTCCGAAAGGCCTTGGCAGGAACTCCCTTAATGTGATTGTCCTTATTAACACCAGCGGTGCAGGGCGCCTGTGGAATGAGCCGTGCAACAGGCTTCTGGAAGCCAGGAGGGCTGGGCATGTCTCCTCTCCTTCCAGCTTCAGCCGGCGCTTCTCTGAGCCCAGCAGCTCCTGTGGGCGGGACGGTGGGTGGGCCTGGGAGGGAGTGGGCTGGAGGGTGGGGTGGGCCTGGAGGAGGGAGTAGGCTGGAGGGTGGGGTGGGCCTGGGAGGGAGTGGGCTGGAGGGTGGGGTGGGCCTGGAGGAGGGTAGGCTTCAGCTCTGCTGGAGTCCTAGAAGTGAACGAAGGACTTTCTTGCCTCCCACTCTGGACCTGACAGGAGGCTGGGATGGGCACTGGGGGATTCTTGGAACAGTTGCAGCCTAGAGGAGCTGGACAGAGACCCCTGGATGGAGGCCACGGTGCCTGTGGCCTGGGTCTCCCGGGCCCAGGAGATGAGGGAGGTGGTAGTAGCTGTGCTCTCTACTACTGAGCCTTGGGGCAAGGAGACCTCGAACAGACTGGGTCTGGGCAGGGGCTGCCAAGGCCAGACTCCCCCCACCAGGGCTGCCCATGCAGCATATCCACAGCTGCACAGCAGGCAGGCATCGGGAATGGGCATCCAAAGACAGCAGTTGGAGGCAGAGGCTGAGGCAAGTGGCTTGAACAAGGACAGGGAGAATAGAGATTTGAGTCCCACACGTGCCTTGCTTTATAGCCAATGCCTGATTTCCTACTGGAAAAAATCTTAGATAAACACAAGTAGAGCATGGTCTCTGTTGAGACCTAAATGAGCACTGTAGTGGATCAGAGAGAAAAGATGCTCAGAGCGCATGATGGGAAGCAGTGGGAGAGGAGAGGACAGGGCCTGCAGTTCTAGAGGGAGGGGCTGCCTATGAGCACCTCTCAGGAGAGCCCAAGGCCGAGGCCAGACGGAGCGCGCAGATCTGGAGGAACTGAGGAGAAAAGCCTCCTAGCAGGGTGTTCAGGGAAATCTCCCAGGTGGAAGAGGAAGATAACAATTCTTTTTTTTATTTTTTATTTTTATTTTTATTTCTTTTTGAGATGGAGTCTCGCTCTGTCGCCCAGGCTGGAGTGCAGTGGCGTGATCTCGGCTCACTGCAAGCCCCGCCTTGTGGGTTCACACCATTCTCCTGCCTCAGCCTCCTTAGTAGCTCGGACTACAGGCGCGCGACACCACACCCGGCTAATTTATTTTTGTATTTTTAGTAGAGACGGGGTTTTACCATGTTAGCCAGAAGAGAACAATTCTAAAAGCTGCAGCAGTAAAGAACAAATAAACGGCAAAAAAAAAAAAAAAAAAAGAGCAGATGGAAACAGCAGTGCCTAGACAACCCAAAACATACAGAGAAAAGAAAACTCAATAATCAACTTGAAAATGACAGCAAGAAAGTCATTAGCCATGTCATGAAATCCAGCAGGCTGACTTGTCTCTGTGGCACAGAGAGCCAGCAACATGGCACCTGGGGACTGGGCAAGGACGCGCACAGCCCATGAGCCCCACCCTCGGGGTGCCACAGTGGTGGATGGGAGGGAAAGCATTGTGGGACGCTTTCTTGGGAAAGTGTTTGAGGAGGCAGCAGCGAGCCATGAAATCCGCAAACCCTGCACGCCCAGGTGAGCACACGCGGCAGTGATGGCTTATATGGGAGGGAGAATACAGGTGCGACATAAATAATCCAGAAATAGAAATATTTCTGAATTGAATCGCAAGCAAAGTCTAAAATAATGGCCCCGAAATGAAAGTATTTATTCTGCAAAATCTAAGAGTTAGCATGACAGGGCTGGGGCAGGGGTGAGTCAAAGTCACACAAGTCACTGGAAGAGGCTGGGAATGGGTGGGAAGGAGAGAACAGGTGTGATGTAAAGCCCACTTCTCATGGGACTGAGGCTGGCCAGGGTCGGGGAAGTCCCCGGTCCGAAGTTTCCATAAAACGGTACAGAACCTTGCGATGGACACTGACGATTACGAAGGGCAGGCACCATTACCAACCCTGCAAAGAAACTGAAATCCAGCAGGAACAGCAGAAGGAAACAGCAGTGCCTAGACGACCCAGAAAATAGAGAGAAAAGAAAACTCAGTAATCAACTTGAAAATGACAGCAATAAAGTCATTAGCCATGTCACGAAATCCAGCAGGCCGACTTGTTTTGTTCAAAGAAGAAACTGTCTAGATGGACAGGCAATCCCTAGGCTCTGTTCTGTGGACAAGAAACATACTTAAAATAATAGAATAAAAAGCCTGAAAATAAAGGAAAGAGTAAAGTGATACTGGGTAAATGAAAGCCCAAAAGGCAAAAAGAACAGAAAGAGGCCGGGCACGGTAGCTCACACCTGTAATCCCAGTACTTTGGGAGGCAGAGGCGGGAGGCATGGTTGAAGCCAGGAGTTTGTAACCAGCCTGGGCAATGTAGCAAGACTCCCATCTCTACAAAAAAATTAAAAATTTCGGCAGGCGTGGTGGCACACACCTATGTTCTCAGCTACTCGGGAGTCAAGGTGGTGAGCGCTAAGTAAGACAGGCTGAAAAATATACCCTAAAAGGCACTGTTTACAAAGATGGCATCAAAATTAAAGCCTGGCACCTCTGCTCATGCCCAAGGGTGCAGCCTGGAGGAAAGGGCAGGTGGGCAGCCAGGACCTCAGCTGCTCTCTGATCTCACAGCAGGAGGAGATGAGGCGGCAGGAGGATTTTCTGACCAGTATGAATAAGTAAATTATTGTAGACAAAGATGATTAATGCTTCTGGTACTTTTCTACCAAGATTCAAGCAGATTGAAGGGTGCCATTGATCTTCCACAGGAGGGAAAAGGGGACCTTGGCTCATGTGTAGGGAATTTCCTGAGGAGTCAGTAATGACCTTGCTTATGTGTGCAGGGCACCAAACCAGCAGCCATCTCATGTAAGCCAGTGGAAAAAGTTCCCCACACCAGGGGCTTCTCTGTGTATGTGGCACAGTTGCCGATTGGTTGGTTGATTCAGTTTTCACCTTTTCACCAGTATTTCTGGGATAAGATGGGTCTCATTTCCTGCCATGCTCCCCCTCGGCAGCACCAGGCCTTGCAGCTGGGTGCCTGGGAGCACATGCTCGCCAGCAGTGGGAACCCAGGCAGGTTACTGCACTTCTTAATCTATAAAATGGGAAGCGTAATAGTACCCCCTCCTCAGGCAGGTGGAAGAATTTCTGAGTGAATGACTGGGAAAGCTAGCATGTGGCAGGTGACAGTGAGTGTGGCTCTCAGCGGCACCCCAGCAGGTGAGCTGGAATAAAGGCTGCAGCCGCCTTGTGGCCATGGGCCTGTGTGTGCCAATGTTTTCCCAGCTGTAGGCCAGCCTTTAAAGATGAACAATTAGTGGGTGGAATTATCTCGTTGACACACACCCTCAGATCAGAAGGCCCTGTGTGTTTGCAGAAGCTCAGCCAACCTGCATCCTAGCTGGGCTCCATGGTCCACAGGGAAATAACAAAGAATTCTATTCCAAACATGAGTTTTTCTAAGAGAAACGCGAGCCTTCTGATTCACCTGCTTTTTGAATTAAGGGTGGCATCAATTAATAAATATTAAAGGATGCTTTTCCGTGGGGTTGTCATCAACAAAGAGCCTAGGAAGACCCACAAAAAGTGGAGAATTGGGGGTAGGAGGGACGGAGAGGCGGGAGACGGAGGGGTATGGAGGGCAGGTGGGCTTCCCTGGAGGAAGACTGCACGCAACATTTCCTGATGCAGGCTGACCCGAGTCTGCAGTTGGCTCTAGAAATCTGTGTGGTCCCAGGAGAGTTACTTCAAGGTTCTGAGTTTCAATTCTCTGTAGTAAAATAAGGCTGACACTACCTGCTTCCTAGCTGGGGTGAGGATCAGCTGTGCTTAGCCCAGGCATCGCTCGGCAGATGATGATGGTGAGGACAATGGCGATGGTCATTACTAGTCTTAATGAAGAGCAGGTGGCTGGGCTCCCACCCTTTGCACTGGGCAAAGTCTTTTCTTTTGTGAGAGAACAGGACAGACGGGCTGGGGGGCGCGGGTGGTCAGGGCAGGCTCAGAGGTGAGGGCAACTTGGTGTGTGTCTCTGGTTCCACCTGCCCTCAGCAGTGGGCACATCATGGCATTTCTGAACACCACCCTGACCCTGCAGGTGCCCCCAGCACCCCTGCCACCCCCTCTACCCATGAAACAGCACAGCTGCTCCAGGCTGTGTCCTGGGGTCAAATGGTCTTTCCCTTCCATGGAGGAAAGAGGTCAACTTGCTCGTTGAAAAAATTTGGCTCCTGCACAGAAATCTCTATTTCCTTCAAGGTAAATGATGAGAGATCAAGCCTCTTCCATTATCCCCCACTCTCTTTAGTGTTACATCAGCTCGAAGGGGTAGAAAAAGCCCATTTCTGCACAGTTCCTGAGAGCTCCCTTTTAACAACGGATTTCTCCAAAGGCACCAGCCGGTCCCCTACTGCACAGAAAGTGCCCGTGAACTCACGGCCCCTCCCAGAAGAGCGCGCTTCACAGAGAACGAGGTGCAATATTTATAAGTTTCACAGCAGTTTGCCTGGTGGGCAGGCGGAGTTGCCTCCATCTTTTCTGACCTCTGATTTTTCCTTCTTTCTACATTCATCTTCAAAACAAACCAAAACTGAACCCAGAAATTCTCCATCCAAGACAAAGCAGACAGAAATAAAACACACGAATGCCCCCTGTATCCGCAGAGCACTGGCCGGGACAGCGGAGTGGCCACGGTCCTCTGTCTTGGTCTGCTCCGCCGTGCCACGCGCAGGCTTCTGTGGTCAGCCCGGCCGCCCCAGGAGTGAAAGCTCTTTTCAGAAATAACGAGCCTGGCAACGATTCCCCAGTCCCTCCACCATGCGCCTAGAGACATCTGAGTGTCAGGCTGGGCTGGTGGCATTTTCCAGAGAGGCCAAGGGGATAAGACCAGACACACATGGAGAAGAAACACAGAGGAACGGAGCCTGCTGGGCCAGTCTGGAGAAAGCACAGCAGGTGTGGGCAGGGTGGGGGCGGGGGACAGTGGGGAACTGAATCTTGCTGACAGCTCAGAGGTGACCGCTGGCCAGAAGGCTATTTTTTGCAAACTGTTTTCCATCCTTTGGACAGAAGTGCCTGGGCTGTGAAGCTATTATAAACATCACTTTTTACCAAGAATCTGCCTCCCTTCCCCCAGCTATCTGGCAGAGCAGGGCAGCCCCTCTGTAATTCCGAGCCCCTGCACCATACCCTCCCTGGACCCACCCCACATGTCCTGCCCTTCAGCCCCCAGGGCGTGTGCGCTGACTGCTGTGGCCCCAGCTTGGACATTCTCCTGGTTCTGTTTCTCTCTGTCTGGGATGGAAGCATCCTGAGCATATTCTCTCACACACAGTCAGCGCCACCACCATGACAGGCCTGCAGCAAGGCAGATGATCAGAGGTCACAGCCCATGGACCCCGTGATTTCTACTCATGCCTCCTAGAACATCAGTCGTCTCAACCTACCTCAGGTGTGTGAATGAATGATTTCTAAGAAACCAGTCGGCCCGGCAAGGTGGCTCACACCTGTAATCCCAGCACTTTGGGAGGCCGACGCAGGTGGATCACCTGAGGTCAGGATTTTGAGACCAGCCTGGCCAACACGGTAAAACCCGTCTCTACTAAAAATGCAAAAATTAGCTGGGCCTGGTGGCACATGCCTGTAATCACAGCTACTTGGGAGACTGAGGCAGGAGAATGGCTTGAACCCGGGAGGCAGAGGTTGCAGTGAGCCGAGATCATGCCACTGCACTCCAGCCTGTGTGACAGAACAAGACTCCTTCTCAAAAAAAAAAAACCCAAAAAAACAAAAAACAAAAAGCAAAACAACAACAACAACAAAGAAACCAGTCTCACTTCTGCCCTTCTTGTCTCTGAATACAACTTCATGAAAATACCCCCCATGAGTGCAGAGACTGGGCAACACAGCACTTCCCCTCTCTTCCAGAGGTTCCAGCCACTGCTGGAGAGGAGGCCATGGTGGATGCCCAAGGCTAGGCCCAGCTCACCCCACCCCATAACCAGGCTGGCTGGGTGCCAGGGGTTGCGGAAGAGGGTGCCAGGGAACCGCAAGGTGGGCTTGGCCCTGGCACCGGCCTCATAGTTTCTTCTTCTGGTGTGCTTGCTGGCAGAAGGGTAGCCATGACCCAGTGGGACCCATTCTTTAGTTGCCTCTGCTCTGCTGAGCCTGAAACCCGGGGAGCTCATTAGTGCCTGCCAACGAGGGTGCCGGTGAGGGTGCTTGTTCCGGGGAGGCTCCATCCACCTGGCAAGGACTTTTTCTTTCTTTTCTCTGAGAGAATTCAGCAGTATGAGAACGAGAAGCACTGAAATAAAGAGGCTAAGATAATGGTGCTGACCCACCAGCATTGGATTATGGGCCCAATGTTGGTGGGTTGGGAGTGTGGGGCTGACCCAGCGCCCGCCACATGGAGTTCTCTGGTCAATATTGGCACAGGGGAGCTGGCTGAGCTGTCAGTGCCCGCAGCAGGGGAGAATCCTGTCCACACCTGGGTGCCCAGAGTGGGCACTGAGAGGGGGTGCAGCCCAGGGGCTCGATTCTTCAGCCACACACGCTCCAAACCTCTTGGAGATTTTAAGTCGTAGCTTTTGTCAGATGATTTTGAAGGTCTTCAGAAACTGCTATTGTCATATGTCATCAAGAAAATGAAAAGTAAAGCCAGAACGAGATATTGCCACACACCCTCTAGAATGTCTAAAATTAAAAAGACTGAAAGCACCAAGTATCCGCAGAGATGTGGAGGGGCCAAAACCCTCCAGTTGGAGCACCAGTGGGCAACCCCTTGGGTGGTTTTGCACAAAGTCAACACGTGCCTGGCCTTGGACAACAATTCTGTTCTTGGGTGTCATCTGAGGGAAGGAAAATACTGGTCTATATGTAGGTCTATAAAATGCTTGTGCATGAAGAGGCATAGCTGCTTTCTGAACAATAACTCTAGTCCCCAAACAACCAAATTGTCCATTAACGGGAGGCTGAGGCAGGAGAATCACTTGAACCTGGGAGGCGGAGGTTACAGTGAGCTGAGCCACTGCACTCCAGCCTGGGCGACAGAGCGAGACTCTGTCTCAAAAAAACAAAACAAAGCAAAACAAAACAAAACAGGAGGATGGCAAACAGAAGGTGGTGTGTGGGAGCAACAGGACGGCACTCAGCAGTAAAACAGCTCAAGCCACTGCTCCGCTAACCACCGGAGTGAATTCACACTCAGAGCGGCACACGGAGCGTCAGGACCCAGCCGCGGGCGCACGCAGGGCAGGTCCCATTCCCATGACAGTCTAGGGGGGCCGAACTCTTCTGAGGGAACAAAATCACAACAGAGCCTTTCTGGGGGCGGCCGGGACCCGTGGGTGGAAATAAAAAGCGTTTCCTGGGCAATGGAACTGTTCTGTGTCACAATGGGACGCAAATTGCAGGAGTGTCTCTGTAAAACCTTTAAAGCTAAGATTTATTTCAATATGTGTACATTTTAACTTGAAGAGAAAAAGAAAGAACAAGAAAGAAGATAGTGTTTTGGGCGCCTATCAAGGAAAACAGAAACCTCAGTGGAACGGGCCCATGATCCAATCACACACGGGCGTGAGGTGGAGGTGGCGGGTGGGGAGGTGTGGAAATTAAATCAAAATTAAAAGGGTGGGGAGAGAAGAAAGGGGGCTGTGGACATGGACCCGCCAGTCACCAATGGGCATGGTGAAGCGTAGTGCCCCGGGGTGATGGAAAATGCTGGTGGTGACGTGGTCATCAGAGACTGAGGTTGGACACCGGCCACATCTCTGCTGTGAAGGGCTGCATGGGAGCAGGTGACCAGTGGGGCTGGAGAGCTTATGCCGGGAGCTCAATCTGAGAGCAGGTGCCGAGGGGCCACCTGGTGTGCAGAGCCCCAGGCACAAGGAAGGCGCCTGCTCAAGACGCCCACAGTAATGCAGTCAACACACAGCCAAGAGGTCAGCAACGCTGGTATCCAGTCAGGACTTCCAGAGGGAAATCGGGAAGGTGACCTCCAGCTCCTGTGCTCCCTGTGGCCTTGGCCACACGTGGGCCACACTGGGCACCAAGTTCACGCTCACATGGGGGCCTCTGCTCCCTTGTTCATGCTGAGGTCCAGGGCAGCACCGAGTGGTGTTCATGGAAACGACAGCTGTGACTGTTCAGTGAGTCCCACTGCGAGCCCCGTGATTCATGGGACGTGATCTCATGCTCCCAGCAACCCCGAGGGAGTCAGGCCCTGTTTCACAGACAAGGAGACCGAGGTTTAAGAGGAAAGCAGCTTGCTTAGAGTGCGGCTGGAGGCTTCTTACTACACGAAGAAACAGAAGAGGCACCATCCTTCCTCTGCTTTCCCGGCCCCTCCCCCAGCCCCTCCCAGGACACTCTCATGCCTTCCTTCCCAGCACAGCTCAAGCCCCAGGAGGCAGGACTCCAGGGGGCCCACGAGGAGCCCCCCACTGTGCAGAACTGTGAGAACTGCAGGAAGATGTGACTCTTGAGATCAGGTCTGAGTGAGCACCGAGCTGGGCGGCCACCGTGTAACATGAGGAGAGACTCCTGGGTGGTGGGGAGGCTGCCCTGCTGTGGCAGCCACGTGCCCGGCCTCCAGCTGCTGAGGGCGACCCTGGCTGGCAGTCAGCGAGGAGAAGCGGCAACCTCAGTCCTACAACCCCAGAGAGCTGGCTTCTGAGGACGATGAATCCCCCGGAGCCCGGACAAGACCAGGACTCACACCAGACCGCAGCCGGCTGCCACCCTCGGCCTGATTCTGGGCCTCATCCTGGGCTGCCCACTCGCCCTGACCAAGGAAAGGATGGGCGCCAGGAGGATTTTCAGGGTCATGGATTTATCCTTGACTTCCTCCCGGATCCCAGGAGATAGTTCAGCAGGGGCTTAAACACGGGAAGGCCAGGGCATGGCCACCAAGCCCCCTTCCTGGATCCCAGGCTCCGAATCTCATGGCGGGGAAGGGAGGGCAGGGAGGAAGGGCAGGCCCAGACCAGCTGGTGTGGACCTCGAAGCAACCCCTCCTCTCTGTGCAATGCTGTGGGTGGGGCATGGGCAGGGAAGGCGAGGAAGGCTTAGGGGCCAGTGGAGGTGCGGGTGGGGGAGGAGAGGAAGGTTTAGGGGCCTGTGGAAGTGCAGGTTGGGGAGGAGAGGAAGGCTTAGGGGGCCAGTGGGGGTGCAGGTCGGGGAGGAGAGGAAGGCTTAGGGGGCCAGTGGGGGTGCAGGTGGGGGAGGAGAGGAAGGCTTAGGCGGCCAATGGGGGTGCAGATGGGGGAGGCAAGGAGGGATTAGGGGCCAGTGGTGTGTTGGGGTGAACTGTAATCTCCGCCACCTGAAAATACGCCCATATTTGGTGATGTGGTGGCTGCCGATATCATTAGTAAAGTGAAGACAAGGTCATCCTGCAGCAGGAGAGCCCCAGCCCCACAGGACTGGTGTCATGGGAGGAGGAGGTGGAGACACAGAGATGGGCACCCAGGGACAGGCCACTCACGGGATGACAGAGGCGGAGAGGGGGTGACCCTTCTACAAGTCGAGGACCACTGGGAATGTCAGCACCTCCAGAGGTTGGAGCAGGTTCCTGGCAGGACCTCAGAAGGAACCAGGCCTGTCTACCCCTGGAGTTTGGACTTCCGGCCTCTAGAACTGCAGGGAGTCCGTGTCTGCTGCCTCGGCCTCCTGGCCTGTGGAGCCTTGGGGCGGCCACCCTAGGAAGCCCCCGCGGCAGCCGTGCAGCTCTGGCCCAGGACGCAGCCTCGGCTCACATGAAATGCTCGGCCCATGCGCAGGGTGCCACCTCGGCTCACGTGAAATGCTCAGCCCATGCGCAGGGTGCCACCTCGGCTCACGTGAAATGCTCGGCCCATGCGCAGGGTGCCACCTCGGCTCACGTGAAATGCTCGGCCCATGCGCAGGGTGCCACCTCGGCTCACGTGAAATGCTCGGCCCATGTGCAGGGTGCCAGGTGACGGCTCGGGCCCGGGAGTCACGTGCAGTGTGGGATCCTAAGCACGTTCCCAACCTACTCTTTGTTCTTTTAATTTTATTTTTTTATTGGCACAAAGGAACAACAATACTAACTTCCACAGGGCCCTACAAGGCCTGGGTGCTTCCTCAGTTTAGAGGGAGTCTCACAGGTGCTGTGTGGGCAGCAGGTTCTCCGGGGGCTCCCGAACAGCAGCCTGGGCCTCTGTCGGGCGGTCACTGGAGCTGTAGACCCTACCCCTGGCCTCTCCAGACCTCCCCACTCAGAAACTCCCAGGAGGGCACAGTAATTGTGTCTGAACCCGGCCACAGGACAGTGCGCACACAGCCAGTTCACAGCCTGGATTGGAGTAAGGTCTCAGTGTGTGTTGGTCACTACAGCCAGTGCTAGTCAGAGAATCATTGTTTCAAGACCTCCTAGGGAGTAAGAGAAGCAAATGTCAGGTCTTTATGTCCTAGGACAGATCCCACCTGTCCTGCTTGGGCCGGAGGGAGGCAGGGGTCTGGGCACTAACTCCCCTTCTGCTTTCTGGGGCTGCTCCAGAGGGGCTTGGAGACCCCTCCTCACCCGTGCAGGCGGGCTCTGTGCACTTTCAGAACTCAGAATTCTGACCCATGCAATTTGCAGAAGGACAGAGGCAAAGGTTGCCAGGCAGGTGTCCAGCCCCGATCTTTGCAGGGACCATCCAGAGATGATATTTAGAGGATCTTTGCAGCATCCAAGGCCGGAACTTCAAAAACCAGAGTCAGCACGAGATACTGCTCTCAGACACTTCTGCGGCGCAAAGAAATTCTCAAATGTCACCCCCCCAGAGTCCAGTGCATAGCCGAGTGGTGTATTTATATATATCATGTTCTAGACCAAAGTATTTGATGCACAGAACTCACCGTAGTGCAATCAAAGCGGGAAGCACTCATTCTGAATTAGCCATTTTGGTGTATTATCCTAATAGTGTATTATTTTTAAACTACCACAACATTTTAATTACATTCTCAGCATGAATCATTATGTACCTTAGTGAAAAGCACTTCTGACTGTAATTGCACACTGGAGTCCCCTGATGGAGTCGATGAACTTGAACCCTGAAATGGGCTGACACGCAGGGCGCTGATGCGTAGCTGCTCCCACGAGCCCCCTGTGTGTGGTGCCACCGGCCTGGCCCCTGAGATGCTGGCCTCTGCTCCCTCCCTCCTCCCCTTTCTCCCTCCTCTTCCCTCCTCCCTCCTCTCTCCTCTCCTCCCTCCCTCTCTTCTCTTCCTCCTTCCCCCCTCTCCTCCCTCCCTCCCTCTTCCTTCCCTCCTTTCTTCCTCCCTCCCTTTTCTCCTCTTCCCTCCTCTCCACCCTCCTCCCCTCCTTCCTCCCTCCTCTCTTCTCTTCTCCCTCCTCTCCTCCTGCCTCTTTGTCCCTCCCTCCTCCCTCCTCCCTCCCTCCTCTTCTTCCTTCTCTCTTCTGCCTCTCATTCCTGCCTCCATCTTTTTCTTTAACAATCTTTATCAGGCACCTGCAGATACCAGTGGTCCTGTCACTTCCAGGGACACCAGCAGAACTCCCTGCCCTCTTGGAGCTTATGTTCTGCCCAGGAAATGCATCCTTCCCTGTAGAGAAGTCACAGGCATGTTCGCCTGTGGGGATGGGTACTCCACGGGGAAGGAAAGCAGAGAGGGGCAAGGACACACTGGTCGTGGGGGTTGGGGGAGCTGACTGAGGAGGGGTCGCCGGAGCAGACATGTGATCACAGACGCTTCCACGCTGACATTTCACCCACGAAAGCCACCAGGGCCACTGATGATACAGCTTGGATGTTGTCCCCTCTAAAGCCTGGGTTGAAATATAATCCCCAGTGTTGGAGGCGTGGCCTGGTGGGAGGTGATTGGATTATGGGCTGGATTTCTCATGAACGGTTTAGTGCCATCCCCCTGGTTCTGTCCATGAAATCGTGAGTGAATTCTCGTGAGATCTGGGGAGACGCAGGAGCTCTCCCAGGAAACTTCAGTACACGCCTCTGGCAAAAGACAGGGAGCTTGCCTTGGCCTCATTTGGAACCTTCTGGTTTATGGAGTGTTTTCGCCCACCCCAGCCTGGTGGAAGCTCCCTTGATTTGCAGAGAAAAGCTGGGTGGATGGGATGAAGCCTTTCCACAGAAGAATCAGCTTAAAGAAGTGAAGCCACACAGGCAGCGGTCATGGCCAAGGCCTTTGTCCTCCCAGCCAGTGATGTCTTTGTGGAGCACTCTCGATGAACAAGACTTGATGGGCTGGAAGGAATAGCAACAGCGCCCAGGAGCTGGTAGGAGGAGTGGACAGCGCCCGGTGCAGCACAGCCTGGAGGTTCTGTGGGTTCCCTCTGCTCCAGGCAACAAGAGGCGGCGCCTAAGGACTTCCCAAGGTCTCTGTGAGCCTCCAACCTCTATCTTCCTGTGGTTCTCACCCATGGAGGAGAACCCGGGATCCACGACTTGGTAGCTCACAAAAGACAGACACTGCATCCACTTAATTCACTCCCTTCATTCCTCCGGGTAAGGGATAGAGACATGATGGAGTGGGTGTGCTTCAGAGAGTGTCGGGGACAGAGGGAAGGAGGGCTGGACCATCTAGAAAGCCCCACTTCATCAGATTCTGCAGCTTTCAAAGCAAACATTCCCAGAGCAAGGCAGGAGGGCGCCAGCCCCTGGAGAAGCCATGCTGTGCCTCCGTGATGCCGAGTGCGGCTGCGGGGAGCATCTGCGTTCTATGGGTGATGAGGCCAGGGTACGAAAATGGAGCTTTTCACCTCTCCTCCTCTTCTTACTCTGAGAGCTTTATATAACCAGGGTTTTCATAGCGTGGGGCAAGATTAGTGCTACTAGAAATGATGTGTAATGCCTTATTAATTAGAACTGTGCCTGGTGAGACCTTCTGAGATGTTTCAGCAATTCTGAGAATTAGAAGGGTGTGGTTTTGCTCTGGTCCAATTCTTTTCTTTTCCTTTCTTTCTTTCTAGCTTTTGTATTCAGGAAGACCACTTCTTAGAATAGGCAAAGCCCTGGCAAAAGTGAATGGGGCCTCTTTGTCTCCCTGGCTATAGTCTCCCCACCCCATCCTGCTCGCCCATCCCAGGCTGGGTCCACACGGTACAGCACGCAGGGAAATCAAGCTGGTCCCCATCCACTCCTGTCTGGCTTCTGCACCCTTTCCCTCTACCCCATAGAATCCCCATTTGCAGCAAATAGCTGGCTCTTTTCGTTGGTCATTACTTTGCTGACCAGATCCACTCCCAGGTCAATTCCTGGAGCATTGGAAAAATAAATCCATAAATGGAAGAAGGATACAGGGACACAGAGGCTGCCATGAGCCTTGCAGAGCCATAGCACCGGACCACTCTAGTTGTGAGGGTCAGGCCACCCGCTGCTGCTTCCCCTACCTCCCCCAGAAAGGCCGCCTCCGAGACTCTAAGCACCAAGCACATTCGCCGCCATGCTCATCTGCTCCTGGTCAGCCTCAGAACCTTTCCTTCTGTTACTTTAAATGGTGATAATGGATCAAAAAGCTTTGTGATGAGTGGATCCTGGGGCTAATATGCTTGAGTTCAAATCCAAGTCAACTACTGGCCACTTCACCTCTCTGTGTCTCAGTTTCCTCATCTATAAAATGGGGACAGCGGTCGTGCCCGCCTCACAAACTTGCCAAGATACCGAATGAGCTGAACAGAATGACTCACATATAGTCAGGTGTGGGTAAATGCTGGCTGTTATTGTAAGCACAGAAGAAGGCCCTGGGATTTGTCTTTCTGGCCCAGTGGAAGTCACCTCCAACTGCCCTTACTGGGAGGCTTTCCATCAGTGGGTGTGGACAGTGCCCCAGGGAGTCAACAACAGAAAAACAACACACAAATCGTGGAGGGAGGGGGTGTCGTGGAGGGAGGGGGGCGCGGTGGAGGGAGGGAACTGTGGTGGAGGAAGCGGGGGATGACTCGGCCGAGGATGAGGCCAGTTTGCTTTGAAGCTCCTCCAGAGCCCAGACACTGGAGGGGTCGACGGATGCCCGCCCACCACTGTCCCCTACAGCCCAGGCCCTCCGCCCAGCCCTGTCTTGGATGGAACCACTTGAGGTCAGGATCTCTTTTCCCCTGGTTCTCCTTCTTTTCGATTCTGGAAGACGCAGGTCTCTTCCAGCTCCAACATTCTGAGCATCCAGGGCCTCCTCTACAGCCACTTTCTACCGCTCCTCACACCACGAGGCCCCTGGAAAGCAAGAGCTGCCCTTGGGATCTGAGGTTCCAGGCGACACAGAGCGGAGAGGTGGAGGAAGGTGTGACAGAGGCTGCTGGATGGGGACGAAGTCGCAGTTGTGTGGGGGCGGTGAGTCCTGAGGATCTGTGGGATGTTAGGGTGACGCTTAACAATGACGCACCACACACTTGAAAACAGCCAGAAGAGAAGACTTTGAATCTTCTCACCACAAACAAGATTACGAAGCTGTCCATTTTCTGTGAGATCATCTATGCCATTTAATGCACTCAATGCAATATGACCTTTCAAGAAAGCCAGTGAGGAGCTTCTGACTAAAATATGTTGCTTCTGAATTTCACATAGAACAGTAAGTCAGCAAAAATAGAGATTCTGAAAATTAAAAGTAGTAAAAATGATTTTCCCTTGGCATATTAAACATTGGAGCGCATATATATATATAATTTCTATTTTTATTTATTTTTTATTTTTTGAGACAGAATCTCATTCTATTGCCCAGGCTGGAGTGCAGTGGCGCAATCTCAGCTCACTGCAAACTCCACCTCCCGGGTTCACGCGATTCTCCTGTCTCAGCCTCCCGAGTAGCTGGGATTACAGGCGCCTGCCACCAGGGCTGGCTAATTCTTGTACTTTTAGTAGAGATGGGGTTTCACCATGTTGGCCAGGCTGGTCTCGAACTCCTGACCTCAGGTGATCCACCCTCCTCGGCCTCCCAAAGTGCTGGGATTACAGGGACAAACCACTGCGCCCGGCCAGAGCATATTTTAAAAGCTACAATAATTAAAACAATGTGGTATTGGAAGAAAAATAGACAAAAGTATAAAAAAAGTCAAGAAACAGCAGCAAATATACACAAGAATTTACTATCTGATAAAGATGACATTTTAAATAAGTGAAGAAAAGATCAATGTTTTTAAGCAGTGATGTCAGCCCAACTGGAAGAAAATGAGCTGGATTTCTAGTTTACACTGTATACCCAAACAAATTTTAGAGGAAACAATTATACATGTGAACAATGAAATAATCTTAGATGTCATACCTAAGAAATCTTTGCCTAGCCTTACAGAAAACACTAGAAGAAAAAAGGGTAGAATTTTTTTCATAATTGGAGTGAGGAAAAAATCATAAAACCTAGCATCCATAGAACAAAAGATTGCTACTTCATATATATATTTCTCATTTTTTGAACAGCTTTATTGAGGTGTATTTGCTATACAGTAACCCTTACATATATAAAGCAAATGATTTGATAGTTTTTACATATGTATACAGTTGTAAAACCACCATTGCAATCAAGATAACAAACACATCTGCCACTCTCCATGGCTCTTGCCCTTTGTAACCTGTCCCTCCAACCCCGCCCCACCCTGCTCCCCCATCCCAGGTGCACTCTGGTCTGCTTTCTCTCACTACTGACTAGTTTGCTTTCTCTAGAATGTTCTGTAAACAGAATCACACAGGGTATACTCTATCTTGTCGTATTTCTTTCACTCAGTAGAACTATTTGGAGATGTATCCATGTTGTTGCGAGTATCATTAGTATTTTCCTTTTTATTCCTGAGTAGGATTCTACTGTACAGATATACCTCCATTTGTTTATCCAGTTATCTGTTGATGGACATTTGGGTGCTTTGCAATTCGGGCTGCTGTGAACATTAAGCATACGTCACTGTATGGACGTGTGTCTTCATTCCTCTTGGTCTGTCTGAGCTCCACACCTAGGGAGGCTTTGGAATTGCTGGGCCATGTGATAAGTTCTATTCAACGTGTTAGAGAAATTGCTGAGGTGTTTCGCAAGTGGCTGCCCCATTTTCCGTCTCCACCACCAGCTTTTGATGGTTCTAATTTCTTCACGTCCTCACCAACACTGTTACTGTCTGTTGTATGTTTATTATTATCATTGTGGCCATGCCGGTGGGTGCAGTGGTATCTTGCTGTGGTTTTTATCTGCATCTCCCTAGTGACTAACGATGCCGAGCATCCTTTGAAGGCCACGTTACCATGATGACATCTTCTTTGGTGAACTGTCTACTGAAATCTCTTGCCCATTTTTTGTTGGCTCATTTGTCTTTTTATCATTCAGTTTAAGAGTTTTTAACATACTCTAGATGCAAGTCTTTTTTATCAGATATACGATTTGCAAATATTTTCTCCCAGGCTGTGGCTTGTCTTTATATTGTCTGAACAGTATCTTTTGAAGGCCAGAAGTTCTTAATTTTGATGACATTCAATTTATCATTTTTTCCTTTTGGTGTCATGTCTAAGAAATCTTTGCCTAACAACATAAAAACTTGAAATTTTTGAATTATGAAAAGGAATAGAGACAAAGAGAAAAGATAAATGAATAGATCAAAATATTTGAATTCATAGTATAAAGTGCTAATTTGTCTAATAGATAAACAGCTTTCACAAATCAATAAGCAAAAGGCCAGCCATCTGACAGAATGCATTGCCAAGGAATACAAGCAGACAGTTCACAGAAAAGGAAATACAAATGTCTCCTCCACAGAAAACTCAACTTTACTCATAAAAAGAGAAACTCAAAACTACAGCAAGATTTCATTGACTTAACCCTCAAGTGGGCAGAGATCAAAAAGTTGGGTGGCCACTGGGTTGGTAAGGAGGTAGGGGGTAGGAGATGGACTTTCTTACAGTGTCTGACAGAGCATGTATTAGAACAGAATCTACAGAGAGCCATTTGTCAATTACCTGTCAATACAACATTCCTTTTCATCCAAAATTGCACTTCAGGAAATTTATCTTTTGCATATACTGACTCATGTGCAAGATGTACGTGTTCAAAGATACCCATTGCAGCACTGGGTAAATGTGCAATATTGAAAGAAATCTATCAGCAGGAGACTGATCAGGTAGCGTATGGCTGATTCATACAATCAGACAATGGGACGTTGCTGGGGGAGTGTCCTCCCCTACCCAGGTTCAGGTTTCAATGTGCAGTAAGCCCCCTGCCTGGCTTTCTGTCCCAACCCCCAGTTAAAAAAGAGAAAGGGGCTCAGCTTCACAAATGGACGAATTAGAAGACACATTTCCAGGAGGTTCCCTCCTGTACCTTTTGAGTTTTATGCATATACTGTCATTCAAAACAAAGCAAAACTGGCTGGGTGCGGTGGTTCATGCCTAAAATCCCAGCAGTTTGGGAGGCCGAGGTGGGAGGATTGCCCAGGAGTTTGAGGTATCAGTGAGCTATGATTGTGCCACGGCATTCCAGCTTGGGTGACAGAGCAAGACCCTGTCTTAAAAAAAAAAAAAAAAGAGAGAGAGGGAAGAAATAAAATGGAAATCAGCATTTAGGCAGCGCTTTCAGACTGTGAGCACGCTGAAAGAAGAATGCACAATCATTAAAGAAAATGCACAATTATTCATCACCTACTTTGCGCTAGGCACTTTCTTCTAAGCCTCTCAACAACCCTGCAATAAGTGCTTATTATTCTTTACCATTGGGAGCCCAGGTTCAGAGCGGCAGAGCCCTTGCTTGAGGTGGCTCAGTTCTGTCTCCACTGACACCTGCCTAGGAAGCTTTACTTCCAACCTCCTGAACACACAAAAACACACTTTATTAGTACTTGTTTCCTTAATGCCTGCTGCAGGGTCTGGCCCTAATAATCATGCAGTAAGTTCTTGTAGGGTCACACAGAGGAGGTCAATGTTGGTGAGTCTCTCATCCCATCACATCGAGGCCGTTGTCCCCTGCTGCGCCCCAGCCAAAGGCTCTGCACATTACTCTGGGCAGAGATTGGAGATGCTGCCTGGGCCCTGATTTTGGACACCCAGCCCGGCACCATGTCGGGGCCATCCTACTCCAAAGTCCACCCCCTTCCTTCCCTGGGCAGAACCAGGAGCTCCATCTCTGTGGCCTGGGCTGAGGTGGGGGTCACCAGGCCCCTCACCCAGGCTTCCCTCTCAAGCACCAACATCCTAAGCCAAAGAAAACTATCCAAGGCTCTATTGTGGGGCTTCCTACAGCTCTTAGGGGAAGTGCAGATGAGGCACTGGGCCACATAAATCTTCTCCAGTGTCCTATAAAGCAGCTCACTTGGCCTCCACAGCTAGAACATTCCATCCCTGTCTCCCAGGCAGCCTCCCTTCCCCAGGATGCCCGGACACCCCTGCAGACACAGGCGGGCACACTCGCTCCCTCATGGCACTGTTACCACTGGTAGATAAGCTCTTCACGAGGAAAGGGACGCACCTGCCTTGTTACTACCGTGTGCAGGGTACCCGGCACCGTGTCTACAGTGAAGTGATGTAGGAGCCGGCTGAGGGATCACGAGTTTCCATTGCTGGAGGTTGAGGGCCCCCACCTGCCAGTCACACCAAGGCTGGTGAAGCTGCCAGCACCTGCCCAGCAAGGGCGGTGAGGCGCAGATCACTGACGGCCTATTTCGGAGCTGTTGGGTATTTGGTAGAACATTCCAAAAAGCAGAAGCTACCAGCAAATGTAGTCTAAGCCTTGAAACTTACTTTCGTTTTTGGATAAGATGGAGTCACCTTATCATGCAGGTTGCTACCTAAGAAAGACGCCCCTTCAGTAATCCCCACTTCTGTAAAACACACCTGAGGTTTCACCACAAAGCTCCCAAACACATTCGTTCCAAATTGCTTAACTACAGGATCTGCCAGAATCAGCCTGAAGCCCCGCAGTGGCGAAGGAAACGCCGACCGAGTCACCAGGAGGAGCACGTGCGGCCCTAGCAGGCGCGTCCGCTCCCGACTGCTGTGCACGCCGCGTGGGGCACGGGCTTTGGCGTCAGCGTTGCTCGTTTTGACGGGAATCGTTATCATGAAATCTTGTGACACCCACGCCTTGTGCCCTGGTTCATGCAGAGATTAAGAAAAAGCTCCTTACTGTTCATTATTTAAATTAGCCGGTCGGCAACGGCTGGAAGACACCGTGCCCGCCAGTGAAGAACAATGCCAGGCCGGCCGCGCTCACGCCTTCCCACTAGAGGCGGGCCTGGGGGCAGGGCGGGCCTGGGGGGCTGCTCACAGCCCTGGGGGCCCCTCTCGGTGGAGGACCCATTTCCTGTTGTGGAGATTCTTCCCTTTGCAGCCAGGAGAGGGGTCCGGGAGGGCAGATGTGTGCACAGCTCCAACTTCTTGTTTCTCCTTTTCCACGGAGAACATCGACGGAGCGGAAATGTTTGCCGCACGCAGAAGCCTGCAGCTGCATCTCCTCTCCGCCCGCTCCTCGCCCATCAAGCCTTATCGATCTGCAACTGCATTTCGCGCTGAGGTGAAAGTGTTGCGCGCTGATGTGGAATTCTAATCTTCACCGCCCGCTCCCCGCCTGGCCACGGGCGCCCCTCGCACCCCTTCCTCCCCACCCAGCCGGTCCGGCGTGCCTCATTGCAAGTAATTATGCTGCACATGAGTCATTTTTTAATGTTTGGTTTGATACATACAGATTCTTTAAACAATAAAAAAAAATCAGCAAACAGCATCACAATCTGGAAATCTCTTTCTTAACATGGAAAACGGTTTCTTAATGGCACAGGGGGGAACTCAACAGCAAGCTTGACAACATAATGAGGAGATTGTTCCTGGGAAGGGAAGCGCGTTCTTCATGCAGCTCTTACTACTCTCAATAAGATTATTCTCCCTGAATAGCTAATCAGCTTTCTCCAGCTCCCCAAATCCGCGTGCTGGAGGCTGCTCACACGGCTCTCCTTACGCACTAAGTGGCACACAGTGACACCTCGGAGGGCGAAGTCTAAAGTGTTAACAGTATGTGAGCAAACAGCGCAATGGAGGTTGCAGAGAGAGAGGCCTTTGGCAGATGAGCAGCAATTTAGGAAGACGGCTCTGTCACACCTGGGTTGACAACGCTGACAGGGTTTGTTGATCTCTGCTCCCATCTCGAATTTGAGTGTCACGTTTCAACAGAAACGAGAGAAATTAAAAAAAAAAAAAAAGCTTTCAAGAGTCAGCGTTGTTTGCACGGTGTTTGTGACACCGAAACACAAGAGCACGGGGTGGGAGCTGCACTGACCCCGCCTGCAGCTACCCCCACCCTGCCAGAGCCCGCAGAACTGGGTGCAGGGTGAGGCCCGTGGGTCCGGAACAGGGCAAGTGCCCACGGCTGCTCGGGCCCCTCCGGAGCATGTGGTCCTGGACAGTGACACACTTCAAGCCCTGAGCTCACTTGGGAATAAAAGGGCTGATCACAGCCTTGCCTCTGGTCCCGTCGTGGCCCCCACGTTGTTGTCTCAGGGCTTCCGTAGAGGTTGCTCTTCAGGACAGATGACAGGGACCCCAGAGGAAGGCCTGGCCAAGCGTGGGTGTCACCAGACTGCAGGGAGTGAGAAGAGCTGCTGGAGACTGCCCGGCAAGCTTGCCTGGTGCCACAGCCCAGCACATGCCCCACTTTCAAGCAGGTGGCGTCAGACTGTCTGTAGGGCGTAAGAGCGTCCTGGCTCTGCAGGGGTGGCTGAAGCCATTGCGGTCATGTGGAGCCTCATGGAGACGGTAGCCATTTGGGTCCTGAAGCAGCTTCCAGCCTGTCTGGAGCTCTCAGAGTGCCACAAGCACAGATGCAGGGCGTTCTTGACAGCTCACTGAAGACGTGCGTGTGCATCACCCCACGGGTCCCTGGGGCTCCGGGCGTCCCATCTCCATGTCCAGGGCAAGAGGGAGAGGAGGCAGAGCCAAGCCCAGGTGTACTCTAGTGACCCACAGCCCTGAAACACCATAGCCTCATCCAAAGAAAAGCAAGGACACTTGGTGCCTGCAGAACTGAACTGCGCTGGATCCCGCCTCAGAGGCTGGAGAAGAAGGCACACCGGTGGGGCCAGCATGGGGGCCAGATAGCCCTGTCCTTGCCCCTCACTCCGCCTGACTGAGCGCCTCTCAGTCCAGGCAGCAGGAAGCCTCTTCTCCTTGGGAAGCCACTGGCAGTCAGGCTGGCTGTGTGGGGACTTGGCTTCATGCTCCAATATTTGGAAGCTTGATAGAGAGCTTTCACCCTCTACTTGCTTTCTTCCACGTGAGCCCCGTTTTCCCCGGGTGAGAATGCGCTTTGCCGTATTCAGGGTCTGAGCAGCATGTGCCCATATCCTCTCTCCCAACATCCCCATGTCGGGCCCAGAGAGTGCCAGGGCCTGTGGGCTGGGAAGCGGTCACGCCCAGGCGCATTCTGCCCATGCGGCTAGTGCCGTCTGAGAGAATGCACAAGGCGGCCTGCGCTGTGGGCCCTCTGGTCCCAGAGCCACAGTGTGAGTCATGTGCTGCCTCATTGTGAAATGCCCCTGCCCTCTGCCCGATGCAAGGCCCTGGGTGCACGCATGACTCATGGTGGAGGCAGGAGGAAATATGCAAGTTTCTCCACGAACCGGGTGCAGGTGGTCGTGACCTTAATGCCGTTTCCACAGGGGGCCACAGAGACATTCTTTGCAGATTTTTGTGAACACCGTACTCTTGGAGGCCTCCACTCTCAAGCTGGTCCCCAGATGGGCCCGGTAGAAACTCACAGCAAACATGTCTTCCCCAAAGGAAGAATGACAACAGCTGTCTTATTTTGGTGAGGGTAGTTTACAGGGTAGTTTTGGTTATGTTGCAGTGACCCCAAGGTCAGAACCTCAGAGCCGAGATAACCGTTGGAGCTGTGCTCCCCACGCTGGCTCAGCCCCTGGAAGCCTTGGTCTCATGGCTGCCCCGTGTCAGCCGATGGTTCCCAGATCATCAAGACGGTAAGCAAAGCGATGTGGGCACTCCAACCCGCCAGGTCCTCAACATGTCCATGCAGGAGGTACACATGTCCACATCCCACAGTCACCAGCCCAGCCTGGCTTAGCTGAGAAATGCAGCTCTTGTCTGCATGCAGGAGACAAGGCCCAGCAATGAGTCTGAGCAGCACCAAGGTCCGTCCTGTGCGTCAGCTCCCAGGTCTCGGCTCACTGTGCAGGAACCGGAGCTTGATATTTACGACATCTCCTAGGTCATGCACTGTTCATTCATCCGAGGACTAGTTATCGGGAGCTTGTGTTCCTGGAGCTGTGCTCTCCCCTTGCCAGCCTCAGCTCCTCTTCCACCCCAACCTGTGCCCACCACCCCCACACCAGAGGGAAGAAACAACCCCGACCTCAGGTATAGAGTGAAGTCCGGCTGATGCTGGGCTGAAAGAGTAGCTGGATTCTTATTAGGACACAGTAAATGGACCGCACTCAGGAACACGCTCACATCCCAGTCTCTGGATATGGAGGACTTGTGTGTACTGATTCCCCCAGAAACTCATGGACCATGAAAATGACTAAGTATCTCATCTGGCAGGATTTTCATTTGCTCATTGGTATTAGGACAAACAAATGGAAACATCTCCTCTTATTATTCACAGCAAATATGTGGCCACTGCTTTCCTCCCTAACTTCTCAGGCTTAACTGTAAATGCGAATCTCCTGGTGTTTCCTGGAGCTTTCCCCTTCCTTTGTACCATAGGCCCCACATGTCACATTCCTCTGGCACCTCTTTTCCTGCCTTACAGTTACTATCGGCCCTTGTCATCCCCACATCAGGACGCTGAGCTGCGCATGCTGTGTCTGGGCCACGGTCCCCATGAAAATCCTTCCCCTGGTGTTCTGGGTGCCGCCCTCCGGCTGTGCCCTTCCATCCTGGGAAGGTCTGACTGGGGTCCCACGTCACCACGTGGTGGGCCCCACATGCCAGTTCACTCTCGGCTTCCCAGCGCCTCTCTTCCTGCTGCCCTCACCTGCTCTTCTGAGGCTCCTGCAAGGCCCAAGATCCGTCTTTGATGACATTTTTCCTGCTCTCGTTCCTGGCTACAGACTGTTGCCATTTTCCAGCAATGGTTTGAAATAGCATTAGAAAGTTTCATCGAGAACAGAATTCTCTGCCCTACTTCAACATTACGTGTAATCCTATTCTCTGTGAAGCCTCCCCAGCATCACCAGTGGCCATGGAAGTCCCCATCCATGAAACTCCCATGTGGAAACTCCGTAGAGAGACCTCCCATCCCGCTGTGAAGTTCCTGCGTGTCAATGAGAGGCCGGGTTGGGGTAAGATGATCTGCATTGATTTTGAGTCACTGGATGGGAAGACACCAGGGCTGAGATCATTAAGGAAGCTTATTGCTCCGGAAATACACCTGGGCAGAGGCATGTTGTTGACCTCAGAAGCCACGCTGCCTTCCCACACCCTGGTTATTTAATTTTCTTTTGTACTAACTAAAATCAGATTTCTCATTGAGGGTAGAATTTACTGACTTTTCGGATAATACGGAAAGCACACGGGAGGGCTCATCTCATCCTCTGCAATGAGGTGTGCGCAGCATCAGGGTCTGTCTAACCAGGGTCCCCACGGCCAAGCCAAATGAGAGGAGTGCAGACTTCAACTCACAGCAAACCAGCTGAACCCAAGCCTCAAGAGCTTAAAGATTTTGTTAACCAAGATCCACAGACTGAGGACAAGGCAGTTATGTGCTTGAGCTGGCAATAGCCACTGAGCTCAGCGCTCAGCCTGGATCACAGACGGCAGCACCACCATGCTCGGATGCACAGGGTGCGGGGCAGGAGCGTTCAGCCTGGATCACAGACGGCAGCACCACCATGCTCGGATGCACAGGGTGCCGGGCAGGAGCGCTCAGCCTGGATCACAGACGGCAGCACCACCATGCTCGGATGCACAGGGTGCCGGGCAGGAGCGTTCAGCCTGGATCACAGACGGCAGCACCACCATGCTCGGATGCACGGGGTGCCGGGCAGGAGCGCTCAGCCTGGATCATAGACGGCAGCACCACCATGCTTGGATGCACAGGGTGCCAGGCAGGAGCGTTCAGCCTGGATCACAGATGGCAGCACCACCATGCTCGGATGCCACAGGGTGCCGGGCAGGAGCGTTCAGCCTGGATCACAGACGGCAGCACCACCATGCTCGGACGTACGGGGTGCCAGGCAGGTTTGATGTTTCTGTTGATTTTGGCTTCAGCAGTTGAACTCTGGCCTCCATAGGAGGCCCTCCGAGGCCGGAGGGGCCCACACCCTGTATTCCTGCACTTAGTGTCATCCCCGGGCTGGTTAGAGGCTGTCGAAGGTTGGTGAAGCCCTTTGAGCCATCAGGCTGAATCAAGCCTGCAGTGACTTTGTCATCTGTGAAGGATCCTTTCACGGTGAACAAAACTTCACCTCATCCCCAAACAGACAGACAACATGCTCCTGAGCAGATACGGCATCCTCTGTGGCTCTCCACGCACATCGGAAACATTTTCCTTCAAGCGAGATGAAAATGTGGCAGCTACGCCAACAGCCAGTGCTGAATTCTGTCTCCAGCGAAACGAGGATGGGTGGCTGAAATGGACAGATAATCTAAAAAGGCAAACTTTAGAACACAGAGTATCAATGTGTTCCAAAGCAAACACTTCTTAAGTACCTGGATTACAGGACTTGAATTTCATTTTCTTGTCTTTAGTGCAGAGGAAGCAGACAAGAGAAATGTCTGTGTTAACCTCAAAGATGAGAATTTGGGGTCAGTTCTCAGGGGACAACCTGTGGCCTGTGTAAACCTCGGCAGTTTCCCTAATTTCTCCCAGCCTCTGTTACCCACACGGCCACCCTGGAAGGGAGACGGGAGGGGTTGTTGGATAGAGAGTTCGCAGTGCGTTAATGAAGCACCCTTGGAGCACACGGGAAGGAGGGATTAGCTCTCACACTGAAGGTGGCATGAAGGCAGGTGCCAGCATGAGGAGGAACGGGAACCCCAGGTAATCCTCCAGTGGCGTCACCTGCCCTCTGGATAACTGAGAGGTGACTAATCTTCTGTAAGTTAATTGTCAGGTGTGGAAAGATTTTGCCCACGGTGAGAGTAGCTCCCGTACGGCACAAAAGGACGGCTTGATTTCCTGCACTTAACACGAGTCACTAGGAGAATCATCTCATCCACCAGCTTCTCCAGTTTTATCAATTATTTATTATTTCCCCCATGCCAAGTTACTTCCATGCATTCCACCCTGTGACAATCACGGAACGCCTGGCTCCGTGTGGCCTGGCAGCACATGGGGCGGCTAGCCCGGACCCTGTGCACACCACCTGGCACGGGACCTGGGGTGGGTGTCTCCCCAGAACCCAGCCCTGACCGGTGGCAGCATGAGGGCCGGTGACCTCTGCGAGAAGCTCGGGGGGCCTTGCGGTCAGGTCATGTGAGCATGGTTAGCCAAGTGGAGAAGAGCAAACTTCTGGATTCCTAATCAATTCACCTGTTCTGAAATAGAGAGGGATGGTCCCACGGTGAGCACACGGGGTGGGCGTGGCCCTGCTCAGTGCAGGTGGCCGGCCTTGGACTCACACTGGGTGGCCCTCCTGTTCTCCTCCGGGTTCCGCTTCCCAGGCTGTTTCTGTCATTCTGCACCAAAGACCTTCATTCCAGGAGTTACCTACTTAGGCTAAATTGTGAGAATAAAGTGGAGATGGTAGAATTTCCCAGGAGCCGTGCGTATCTTGGGGAAGCGTTTCTTCTCCCAGCCTGTGTCCAGCGTGGGTGGGCTGCGTGGCTTTGTGGATGGAAAAAAGACCCTTCCCATGAAACGGGAGCCGCTCCCCTTCCAGGTTGCTGCAGTCTGTCCTCAGAGAGCCATGCCTTTGACTCACTTTTAAATGAGATTTTCTCTTCCCCTGAGGAGAATCATTAACAGATTAATCTAAAAGATTTTCAGAATCTTGCTTGAAAGGCAGATTTTCTTAGAAGAAGAAAAGGAAAAAATAGAAAATTCTGGGTTCCCAAGGTTGGGGGTTGGGAGGAGGGGGCATGGCATCCCCAAAAAGTCAAAGAGTAGAAAAAGAGATGCCGGTGCACCTCCAGGGAAACGCACCTTAACTTGGATGCTCCTTGGTATGTATCCATGACGAGAACAGTGAAGGGCTTGACAATGGGCCAGTCCTACATGCCTGCAGGCCACACCCCCATCCACTGTCAGCAGATCCCCTCTGAGGTCTCCTGACGCCACTCAGAGCAGGCCAGACTCTGTCAGTTCTTCTCTCAGTTCCTGGCATCCTGCACCTGAGGCTTTGAGCACAGCTCAAGTCCCCTCTCCCATTCAGGTTTCCTGCTTGCTCCAACCAGACCCGTTTGCCGAATCCCCTGGGCCTCGCATCCGTGTTTCTATCTTGGCAGTCACCTTCTCTGTCTGGCTGCCCCTCCCCTCTTCCCCTGTGCAGTGGGAACTCTAGATGCCTGTTGAATTGCATTATCATATTCAATGATGAAATTGATGGACAGCAACAACACTCAATGATCAGCAGTAAAATGAAGAGTTACTAACTTTATGGTTAGGTACTTGGCCAATACAATTAAATAATAATTTCCTCTTTTGTATGTGCACCACAATTAAAGGATAAACTCTGCATCAGCAAATGGAGTGTTTTCAGCCAAAGTCAGTCTTAGTCCTGTGACACCGTGGAGCTGGGGCAGACCACCCCCACCTTCCTGGGAGGCTGCACAGGGAAATAGAGAAAACACGGAGATTGGCATAGAGATTCCTTCTCATCCTCAGGTTCCTGACATGCAGGCTGGATAGGACACCACCTTTCCTGGCCATCCTGGAGGGCGGAAAGCGGTAACTGGAGTAGAGTGCTCAGTGACTCATGGGCATAGGTACCCATCACACGTGCAGTGGAGATTTCATTCCCCGGGCTGTCCTATCAAAGCACAGACTGGGTAGCTTAGTACAGAAATTTATTGTCTTGCAGTTCTGGAGGCTGGAAGTCCAAAATTAAGGTGTCGACAGGGCACTGCCCTCTCTGAACCCCCTGAGGAGAATTTTGTCTTGCCTCTTCCAGCTTCCCGTGTGGCCGGCGAGCCTTGGTGTTGCTCAGCTGGTAGACGGTGTCTTCTCCCTGTGTCTTCGCATTGTCTTCTTTGCGTTCCTGTGTCCAGATTTCCCTCTTTCTAAGACACCAGTCACATGGAATTAGCGCTTGCCATAGTGACCACCTCTCAACTTGATGATCTCTGTAAAGTCTCTATTTCAAATAAGGCCACAGGCACAGGTTCTGTGGGTTAGGACTTCAACATAACTTTTTGGGAGGGGATGCAGTTCAACAAATAACAATTGGCTCCCTGACCAACCTTAATGTATTCCTCTCCCCACCTACCCCAAACACTGTGCACTGTGAGGCCAGGTGAGGTCAGTGGTTCTCAAACTTTTTTGTCTGAAGAACCTTTTACACTATTAACAATCACTGAGAAACAAAATGCTTGCTTTTCCCCTGCAGGATATATCTATTGATATTTACCAGGGTAGAAATTAAAAATAGGAAAAATTTTAAATATTCATTTTTAATTAATTAAAAAAATAATAAACCCATTACAGATGCCCCTTGACTTTTCATGGGGTTATGTCCTAATAAAACTATTGTGAATTGAAATTATAAGCTGAAAATGCATTTAATACACCTAGACTACTGAACATCACGGCTTAGCTCAGCCTACCTTAAAGGTGCTCAGAACACCCATGTTAGCCTCCAGTTGGGCAAAATCATCTCACACAAAGTCTATTTTATAATAAAGTGTTGAATAGTTCAAATAATTTGTCGAATACTGAGCTGCAAGTAAAAAAGCAGAATGGTCCTATGGGTGCACCTGCTATGGTCTCTACTGAGCGCGTGTCACTTGAAACCATCCTAAAGTTGAAAAATCTTAAGTGGAACTACTGTGAAGTTGGTGAACATCTGTGTGGAAGTAACTGTATTGTTTGAAAAGGAGTGAGAAGAGCAGCATGGCATCACATTTTTAGAAATCTCTAATATCTGGCTTAATAGAAGTTGGCTGAATTATGATAATGGCTTCTTTCAATCTCTTGCAAAACATTGTTTTGGGGGAAGTATAGGAAGAAAACCAGCTTCTGGCAGATGTGTGTGGAAAGGGAATGCGTATTTTTATAGGCTTTTCCAATCATTATGGATATTCCTTGTGGCTACAAAAAAACTTGAAAAATGGTAGTGCTATAAGATTAGTTGTGGAATCTAAAGCCACACCAGTTCCCTTTTTCACTCTGTTACATCACAAGTCATCAGTCTGTTTGCATGCATGATTTTGTACTTGGACACTATCATTAAAAAATATTGGTTCAGTAAATTTTATACACACACACACTCACACATATATGTAGAGACAGAGAGTGCGTGCACGAGAGAGAGATGGGATTTTTCTCTGTCGCTGAGGCTAGGGTACACTGGTACAATTGTGTGATCATAGCTCACTGCAGCCTTGAACTCCTGGGCTCAAGTGATCCTACTGCCTCTGGCTCCCAAAGCACTGGGATTACGGGTGTAAGCCACCGCATCCAGCCTAGACAATATTTTGAAAATTACATTTGTTAATACCACACATCTCATCAGAAAAGTCTTTAGATCGAGAACATTTCAAGCTCATCGTGGCAGGTATGTTTTCCAAAACTCTAATTTTCACTTGAAGGCTGAAATTTATTATTGGCAACAAATACTGTCAGTTATTTTCTTTGAAGTGATGTTGTGGAGAAAATAAGTAGTGTGCGTTCGTTAAGCATTCTTTCAGACAAAGATGGGATTTCACGGAGAGTGGACAGTGCAGGATCCAGCTGGAACAATCACACGTGCCTCCATCCCTCAGTTTGCAACAGCTTGCACTCCCCATCTTCACATGGGATGTGGGAGAGACAAATACACAAGGGCCAAGGTCTAATACGTTAAAAGCTTTCAGTGCTTCATCCAGAACACCCTATGTGAAAGTGGCTTTTTTCCTGCAAGCGCGTGGTAGGGACCCATGTCATGGCTCCTGGTGTGGTTGGGCGCAACCACGTTGGCGGATGCTGAGCTGCCATCAGTGTGAACGTCAGTTCGATGAGAGGGTGCCTGTTGAAGTAACATTGCTGCACAGCAAATTACCACAAACGTAGCGGCTACAAACAACCCACAGGTGCCATCTCAGAGCTTCTGTGTGGGTGGCCGAGGCTTAGCCACACCCTCGGCAGGTCTCCCCCGGCTGCAATCGAAATGTCATTTGGGGCTGTAATTCTCATCAGGTCTCAGGTGCGCTTCCAAGATCACATGGACAGTTGGCAGACCTCCGCTTATTGGGGTGATGGCTGAGGACCCTGTCCTCTTGAGAGCTGTGGGCTGGGGGCCGCTCCCAGCTCTGAGATGCCCCTCCCTGTAGATGGCTCACACCATGGCTATTTACCTTCTCCTTTCAAGAGAATCCAAAGAAAAGCTCTGCTTTCAAAGGGCTCACCCGATGAGGCTAGGCCCATACCAAATCATCTCTCTCGATTAATTTAAAGCCAACTGATCTGGGGCCTTGATTACATTTGCAATGTTTTGCCACTTAACATGATCACAGGAGTGATAGCTCATCATTCCAACCCTGACTCAAAGGGAAGGGACTCTACAGGGAGCCTACAGCAGGGTGAGGGTGGAGGAATCACAGGGCTCTCCTAGAACCCTCCCAAGTTTTAAGTCAATACTACCATCGGGACTGGCTACGTAATTTCCAGGGCTCAGTGCAAAATGAAAATGTGGGGGCTCTTCTTCAAAAATTATTAAGAATTTGAAGACTAACAGCTGAGCATTAAAACAAGCATAGCACCTTCTATGCCAGGATCCTGGATGTCTGCCCAGGTCACAGGCTCATGAACATGGCCCTGACTTATTCGCCAACAGTTTTGGTCTTGCAGACACCTCAAAAGGTCCCAAAGACCCTGGGGGATTTGTGGGCCATCTTGGAGAACTGCTGAGTCAAAGCAGCTCAATAATTGTCTGTGGGGACATTTGTCTGACCTTAGTCATGTAGGAAGTCTAAGAAGTTTCTAGCAGCAGTGAGACATCACAGGCCCTTCTCTTTTCAGAAGTCCCTTCTTATTTTCCCTATAGCACAGGACAATTTCCCCCAAGACCGGGCTTGTGCCAGTGACTCGATCACACAGGTGCCCAAGTTTAGATCTTTTGTGATGGATCCCAGGTCTCAGAAGCCGGGGTCTGTGTGAGCATCCCCATCCTCAGGACGGCTCCCAACGTTGGCCCTGCAGCTTCCAGAGATGGGGGTGACAGCAGCTGCTGTGCTGGTGGGAATTTTAATTTTTTTAAATTTTAAGTTCTCTTTTGATTTTAATTTTTTAAGAAGTTAAAGTTGTGTATATTTACTGTGTATGACATGATGTTTTGAAACACATATACATGGCAAAATGATGATGGCATTCAGGCTAATTACCCATCCATGACTCCTGGAGGGGATTTTAATGTGAAACTGTCCCAGAAAACCTCCCTGGCTTCTGGAGAAGATGCCTTCTTAGAGAAAGCACATCCTAAGAAAGTCTTCCAGAACTAGAAGTGGACTCTTCTGCCAGCACCTCAACAAGGCTTCCTATCCTTCCCTTTATGCTGGGAGCAGGTGGCAGAGCCTTGGGGACACTTCGTGCCTCCTCCCAGGAAGAGGCTCTGGGCACATTCCTCATCCAGCAGTTTTTCCTGGTGATGCATGGGCCCCTCTGCTGACTCCGGTCTTGGAAGCCGGAGACTGTGTGAGTGCGGGCTCCGGTAACACTCATGGTCCTCAGCTTCTGCTTTCCAGGGCTTGCTTCACCAGGAGGGACTCCATGTTGAATGCGTGGCCTCTCCTTGTGAAAAGCTGCACTTTTGGAAGCTGGTCCACACCAGCCAATGGGGCCGGGACCTCCTGCTGTGATTCTGGGCCTTCTTTCCCAGAGTTCACCTAATTTATCACAAGTTATTTTTGCCTGGAAGCCTGAGAAATCCTTTTACAGTGATAATTTCACTATGGCCACCTCTATCTCTGCAGCCTCCAGGCCTGCCTGGTCATCAAAGCCCACCTCATTGCAGATGGTCACCTAAGCCCACCTCATTGCAGATGGTCAGCTAAGCCCACCTCATTGCAGACCCAAAGCCTCCACCTCATTGCAGACCCAAAGCCTCCACCTCATTGCAGATGGTGAACTTTGTCATGATGCAAATTTTGCCACGTTCCTCTCCTGCCTAAAATCCTACAGTGGTTCTCCACTGCATTAGGTCAACAAATATTTACTGGAGACCATGACTGTTCTAGCCAGCAGGGATACATTGGTGGACAAAGCAGAGAAGCATCCCTGCCTTGTAGAGACGACATTTTCAGGGAAGTCAGACACCAAACAAGGCATAAGAAAACCGCAGGGCGTGTTGGAAGACTCATGTAGTGGGAGGGTGGACCTGGACACGGGAACCCGGAGGCCTAGGGGATGGGCACCGCAGAGTGGAGACCCCCCTGAGAGGTGGCGTTTGGACAAGGACAGAGAGTGAGGGAATGGGCCCATGTGTGTCTGGGGAGATGGCAGGTGAAAACCAAGGTGGCACACACGTGGCTCCTGGAGGATGTTGAGCCAGGTCAGGGCAGTGAGAGGAGATGTGGTTGGAGGGGAAGCAGGGAGCCAGCCACACAGGGCCTGCACTTGGGATGAGGGGTGTGGCCTCCAGCTCCAGGTCCTGCCATTTTCTTCTCCTTTTTATGTTTCACCATCTTGGCCCTTTAGTTTCTTAAAGGTGAAAAGCCTTCCCAAAGGGGTTCCCACTTCCTGGAATTTTCTTGCTCTCCTGTCTGGCTCACACCCAGCATCCCTTTTTCCTGAAGGCCTTTCCTATCTCCCCCTCAGGGTGGTCCTCCTGCTTTACACAGCCTCAGTCAGGATGCCTCCTTCTCAGCTCTCTATCTGTATGCTAAATAGATGGATGGATGAATGGATGAGTGAACTGATGGATGGGTGGATGGGTGGACAAATGGATGGGTGGACAGGTGGATGGGTGGACGGGGGATGGGTGGATAGAGGACAGGTGGATGGGTGGACGGGTGGATGGGTGAACAGGTGGATGGGTGGACAAATAGATGGGTGGATGGGTGGACAAGTGGACAAATGGATGGGTGGACAGGTAGACAGGTGGACAAATGGATGAGTGGACAGGTGGACAGGTGGGTGAGTGGACAGGTGGACATGAGGGGGGGTGGACAGGTGGACAAATGAATGGGTGGACCAGTGGACAGGTGGACGGGTGGACAGGTGGATGGGTGGGTGGCTGGGTGGACAGGTGGAAAAAATGGATGGGGGGATGGCTGGACAGGTGGATGGGTGGGTGGATGAACAGGTGGACAAATGGGTGGGTGGACAAGTGGATGTGTAGATGGGTGGATGAATGGATAGGTGAACAGGCAGATGAATAGACAGGTGGATGGGCAAATGAATGGGTGGACAGGGGGTTCATTTACTTGATTTCTGCCTTCCTGACTGGACTGGAAGCTCTGTGAGGGGAGGGGCCCTTCTAGTCCACCTCTGCATCTCCAGAGCTTGAAATCGGTGGGCTGATTTCTGCTGATGGACTGACTGGTGCTGTTGATGGCGTGACTCAAGGAACAAAGGTTCTCAGGTTAGTGCTAGGATCCCAGACTGGACAACAGTCGGGTGAACGCTTCCCCAGGGTCAGTGAAGGAGGAAGCATGATAACGTGTGTAAGATCTGTGACTAGTTCTATAGTTCTATAAACTCTACAAAGCTGCTAATTATTATATAACTGGAAAATATCTATAGCACTTATGCTATACCAACAAATTATGTGCATTTCTACAATTGCCACTATAAAGAAATTATATATTAATACCTGCTCCTGGGACTCAATAGTATGATGGCTTTGAAATTAATACAGCAGCACAAATATCTCCTCAGAAAGACCTTTCCTTGCCCTCATCAAAATCGTCCTTCCCACAGTGCCATCTCATTACTGTTTCGCTTTCTCTCTGGCAATTACTCCTGCTGAAAATGACCATATTTACTTCTTTGCTCGTGAGTTCCGGGATGGCCAGTCCGCCTGGCCTGGAGTGCGGCTTCCCAGGTAGACACAGGAAGGAGTCACCTGGATTGCTCCTTCCTGAATTCCATCATTGAGAACGCGTTACCGTGGGTGGGAGTCAGGGACTGACAAAGTCAAGTCTTGCCAGTTTATTTCTAATTTATATAAGTGTCAAGAGCCAACATGAGCAACTGAATTATAGGTCAGAAAAAGATAATATCAAGAAAATATCCCCAAGATTAGTTTTAATGGTGTGAGTGAATAAATTAGTGAGCAGAGTAAAATGAAATTATGGGAAGGGACTGGGCACGGTGGCTCACGCTTGTAATCCTAGCACTGTGGGAAGCTGAGGCAGGAGGATCATTTGAGCCCAGGAGTTTGAGACCAGCCTAGACAGCACAGCAAGATCCCATGTCACAAAAGCAACAATTAAATTAAAAATATAAAAAGAGAAGAAATGATGGAAGGGGCTACGTGGCATTAACTACATATTGTTTCATTCTAAAGAACTTAATACAATCAATGTATACCTATATTTAGGAGACATTTCTCACACTCATGCCGTGTTTCAGTGGACACTCTCTCATGACAAGCTTTAAGAAAAAAAAGTCTCATAATAGCCTGAATGTATCTGTATCCAGCATAAACAGAAAAGGCGGAACAGTGATCAGGTTGTCTCTGAATGAGATAGGGCCTTTCCCAGCTTCTGCATGGACGTGCAGCCCAATATACACCAAATTAAGAAAACAGGAATGTGCCCTGGAGACGCGGGGAACAACACCACCCTCACCCTCACCCCAGAGACGTGGGGAACAAAGCCGCCCTCGCCCTCACCCTCACCCCAGAGACGTGGGGAACAAAGCCGCCCTCGCCCTCACCCTCACCCCAGAGACGTGGGGAACAACGCCGCCCTCACCCTCACCCTCACGGCAGAGATGCGGGGAACAACACCACCTGCACCCTCATGCCTCAGCTAACCCTAAATTAAGAGCTTGCTGTGGAGACTTCAGAATCATTTCACTGTATACAGATTCAATGCTCAGGGGTTTAAATGTCATTATTTTTTCCACATACTGGACCTTACCTATTAATATTCAGGCCAGGAACAGCTTAAAATTGCAGAGAGCAAGCACACTAGCCAATAGCTCAGTGGGGAGCTGCGGGTAAGTAGCTGCCAGTCACCAGACCCAGGCCATTGTGAGCACAAGGGCCCTCACAGCAGCCCGACGGAGCCCCCGTCACTCGCAGAGCTCTGCAGGCTTGGGGGGCTGTGGTGAGGGAGGGGGAGGCCGGACCCAGCACAGGAAGAGGGGAGGTGAGGCGAGGCCGGGATGCCCTAGGCCACGCCAGCAGCAGGGACAAGCCCAGGGCAGGCAGGAGGCCCCGGAAATGCCCTGGGAAGGTACCACCTCCCTTCTCCTCCCCCCAGACCCCACTGCGGAGACCCAGCTTTCTGGGGACGCAAGCAGGGTGGCGCATCACAGACAGCGTGCTAGGAGAGTCAGCATAGCTGGGCCTGTTTATCCCGCTCCGTGGGCCAGGTGTTCTTGTCAGGGCGGCCGGTGGGCACGTGGGCCGGGCTGGTTGATGTGAGGGTGCGCCAAGCCCGCCTTCTCACCCAGGCATCCCCGACATGGGATCTGCCCAGCCTGCCTGGCAGTTTTCACTGGGAACATATTGTCCCCATCGTCGCTTAACTACGACTGGCGGGACCATGGGGCTCTGCCGGCCCAGCCCTTCCAGTGATGACGATGCTCCAATGGCCGTTCTCCGTGTCAAGCACCGGACGGCCCACCCTGCGACTCCGTCTCTGCGAGGCACACGCCATCTCCCGCCGCTCCCACTAGGCAGGGAGGGCCGAGCTGCTCCGGACGTATCTGCTGCCTGAGCTCCCTTGGGGCATAGTGGCCAAAAACAACCCTACACAGAGGTGAGGTCTTATCACAAAGGATAACCAATACCATATTTTTTCTTATGACAGCAATGACAATGACAGTGTACGTTCTACCCACAATGACAGATGTCAGCTGGGCTGCCACGTCTTAAGCAGATGTCATAAAATCAGAAAAGCATGGAGTGGCTGAAAGGGCGAGGGTGGCAGAGATGCTTGGGGCCTTTCTCTGAGCAAAAGATGTGGCCTCGTCCTGGAGAGGTGGGAGGGGAGGAGGCAGGTGTATGGAAAGCAGCCAACTGGCAAGAACAGGGTGGCTGCAGTCCTGGCCAGCAGATCCCGGCCACCAGGAGACTCTGAGCACAGGGCAGACACCGTGTGCAGGATGCCATCTCTCCTGCTGGTGAACATCCGGAGGACCTCTTGGCCCCCAGGGGCTGCACAGATAGGAAATATGCATAGATCTGAAAGGCTTTGGGACACATGTGAGGGACAGGGTCATCATCTGCTACCACAAGCAACAACAATATTCCTTGCCATTGAGTCGGTCTCTTTCTCTAGAAAGTAAATTCTCAATACGGGAAAGATTCCCTCCAGGGTGTTTACGGATGGTTGTGAGGGGACAGCTTCGGGACTTCTTACAGTTGCTCTAGCCTTTGTCCTTTGATTTCTTCACTTATTATAAATATGTCTTGAAAGCCTCGGGCTGGATGAAGAGAGGGGAGGGAAACACAGTCCCATCCTCACAGGATCCTTTTAGAGTCAGGCAGACAGTGTGGCAGTCAGCAGCCTGAGGTGATCATTTTCGCTGAAATCTGAATTAAAATTTCACTCGATTAAACATGCCTTCTTCATTTTGAGTAGCCACATTTGAAGTACTAAAGACCCACCCGGGGCCCGTGGGTGTGGTATTAACCAGGACGGACATGGAACAGGAATATTTCCACCGTCACAGGACGTTCCATCAGACGGCACGATTCCGAGTGTATGTGTGTTTTCAGCCACCAGGAAAACAGGCAGAGAAACCACCATGCACTGTGGATGCTCCCCCACCCCCCACCCCCAAGGCCCCTATGGACCCTCTTTGGGATCACTCTTTACTGCTATGTCCCAACTGAACACACACCTCAACACCTCCCAAATCCACACACCCACATGCGCAGACACACACGTTGCCACAGGAAAAGCATGATGTGGTTTATGTAAACCACCTTCTCATGGCGTTATACCTCACATGTGACTCTGGGAAAATGCACCTGCACTAACAGGACACAGTGATTCTATCGGGGATGAGATGGCCCGCACGGGCTTGAGGGGTTCGGTGCCATATTCCCCTCCTTCCTCCCCCACCCCTGGTACCATTGGTCCTCTTGCTCTGGGGTTGAGTGGGCATCTATGATGTGGTGTGTCTTGTCCTCCTGGAGGATCTGGGTGTGGTGTCAGTGCTAATGTCCTGGTAAGGATCATGTTCATTCTGGAGCCAGAGGCTTCAGTTCAGATCCTGGGTCATCTACCATCTATGTGACCTTGGAAAACTATTTAGCCTCTGTGAACCTCGGTTTCCTTATCTGCTCATCAGGGCTTGTTATTATTTTTATACACACCCCTTAGAGTTCTGATGAGGATTAAGTGAGCTAATATGTACCAGGCAATAGAAGAGCTCCTGGCAAATAGGAGTCATGGAATGCATTTTACTTATTGCTATTTGGGACAAAGACTCAATCTCATATTTTTTATACTCTTCATGTCTCTTGGCAGTTTTACTGAGTCGATGTCAGATTACTTAAAAATAATTTTTACTTAGCCTTAGATATGTTTTATATTTTTATCTAATTTTGTCTCCAATCTGTGTATTAAACTAGCTACCTCCAGCTACTGTCTCTATGTACCTGCCATGCTTCAAACATCCACACTGGTTTCAAATCTTTCCACATGTTTTTCTCTCTACTTGGAAAGACTTTTCAATCCTTACCTGACTTGCAAACTCCTGTACAAGCCTTAAAGCCCAGTTCTAAAATGACTTCCTTGAGAAAATATCACTGATTACCTAGGGCAGAAGGGATAGCTCCTTCTGGAATATTCCTATACATCTGTTCAAGCTGCTTTTAAATTATGTGCATCTTTAGTATCAATTTACATGCAGTTCTCCCCCTCCACTGGGAATCCCTGAACTAAGAATACTATCCATCCCACCGTGGCCACTCAGGAGATGTTTAGAATGATTGATATTGAATATCGAAGTTCAGAGATGGTGCGGCAGAGACCCATGGGTGGCACTGTCATCAGTGAGGTCTGGGAAAGACCAGAAGGCATCGAGCTCCTTGCTGCTGGGTCTCCCAGCTCCTTCTCTAGCCCTGGATTGTCTGCCCTGCTTTCCCATGCAACATCCCATGCAGTTTGTTCATTTTGTGGCTGTCTGCAGACGTTTAGGGATATGCAGAGGGGGCTTTAAGCCCTCAGCAAGGAAGAGAATATAGGTCCAACTGACAAGGGTCATTTGCTGAAAGTGAAGTTAATAAAAATCGGCCTCAGACAGGAGAGACTGACCCCCTGCAGAAGGAGCTCCCTCCAGGCAAAGCCAAGCTGGTTCATTCCTCCAAGCTTCTGTTGGGCGTTTCTGCCTCAGACACTCTGCTTAGCACTGAGGAGACGCTGGCACTAGGACGCAGCCAGCCTCTGCCCTCAAGGAGCTGACAGTCTGTTTCGGAAATCTCCAAGGGTCCTAACCCTCTATCTGCATTTCTGAGGCCCGGAGGTCCTGAGAACAAAGACCTTGCTGTTCATTCGGTGGCTGGTGATGGGGTGTCGCGTGTCTGGGGTCCGCGCCAGCTGACCACTCACTAGGCAGCAGAACCTCGCTGAACTGTGGAGGCTATTTCTAGTCTATACCCCAGTAAATGTGCACGCCTGACATTTTAACATGGAAATATTGGTGTGTTTGATTTTGAAGGGTCGTTCAGGCCCTGTGCAATATTTGTAGCCAATGTATGCATTCTTCTGAAACCTGACAGATTCTGAACACATCTGCCTATGGGGGTTTTGGCCAAAGCCTGTTGGACTTGGAATCAGGTTAAGTTTTAGGAATATCTATCAAGGACACCAGAGTGTGTCCTGAAACCAGTCAAGATGAGAGAGGTGGGCCGGAAGCGATGGCTCACTCCAGTAATCCCAGCACTTTGGGAGGCCGAGGTGGGCAGATTACCTGAGATCAGGAGTTAGCCTGGCCAACATGGTGAAACCTAGTTTCTACTAATAATACAAAAATTAGCCAGGCATGGTGGTGCATGCCTGTAATCCCAGCAACTCAGGAGGCTGAGGCAGGCGAATTGCTTGAACCTGGGAGGTGGTGGTTGCAGTGAGCTGGGATCGTGCCACTGCCCTCTACCCCAGGTGACAAGAGCAAAACTCCATCTCAAAAACAAACAAACAAACAAACAAAACCAACCAACCAACCAACCAAACAAACAAACAAAAAAAGAGAGGCAAGATGGCCCCAGGAAACCAAAGGTCACGGTACCATGTAAATAACACAACCACCTGAAGATGGCTGCAGCCCAAGGGACTGTGTTTTCAGACACCATGGCTGCGAGAAGAACAGAGTGGGACAGGAGGGAGACACCACAGCACCCACTCCCCTCCGGGTACCCACTCCCCTCTGGGTACCCACTCCTCTCCGGGCACCCACTCCCCTCCAGGCACCCACTCCCCTCCGGGTACACACTCCTCTCCAGGCACCCACTCCCCTCCGGGCACCCACTCCCCTCAGGGCACCCACTCCCCTCTGGGTACCCACTCCCCTCCGGGTACCCACCTCTCTCCGGGCACCCACTCCCCTCCGGGCACCCACTCCTCTCCAGGCACCCACTCCCCTCAGGGCACCCACTCCCCTCCGGGCACCCACTCCCCTCCAGGACGCTCCAGCGTCTGGCTTCTGGACGTGTCCACTGCTGAGTGTACACAGGCCTCAGCTCCCACCTGGGCAAACATCGCCTGGGCAGTCGTCCCCTGTGCCAGTCCCAGGACCCAGGGCCCTGTGTGCTGCTCCTCACAGGCGACCTTCTGCCTACCGCCTGTGAACAGCCAAACCAGCTGGCTGGAGGCTGGGAGAACAGGGCCCCGAGGCTGAGTCAGCCTGGGGTCCCAGCCAAGATGCAGATGCGGAGAGACCCAGGCCCCCCGCAGCTGACCAGACACGTGAGAGGGGCAGCCGGGCCCAGCGGACCCTGAGCCCATCCCAGGCCACACTGCCCAGGCACAGAGCGTGGAGCTACATAAACAGGCGTTGCTTTAAGCCCCTAAGGTGTGGAGCAGCAGTGCAGTTGGAGGCACCCTGTGTGTGCTCACAGATACAGGCGGAATCAGGCAAGGGCTGCTGGGAAAGAACGGCAGGGCCACATCGGCCTCTGCGGGACAAGGACACCGGCTCCCGATGACTGAAAGTGCCTGCACCAGCCTCACCGTGCACTCTGCCTCCAAGAGCAGAGAGTGTCTCGCAACCACATCGCTTCCTGGCTACGCCGTTCTGCAGGCTGAAATGGCTTCCATTCACCCAAGCACAATTCCTGGAGAATCCTGAGACACACGAGGCTCACGTTTTCTCTATGTATCTAATTACCAGGAATAGTGAGGCAGGGAAACCTGAACGGTTGTGAATTATCCCACAAGAAGACGTCCACGGGCAGAGGCCACCTGTCGCAGGGGAAGGCAGGCAGCTGTCCCTGGGAGTGACACACAGCCCACCTTCTTTCCCTCGGCTCCTCGGTGTGTTAATCTGATGTGTCTGTTTCCCTCTAAAGGTTTTGTTCTTTTCACACTGCAGATGGATGTGCAATATGCCGCTTTTGCACTAGAGGCAAGAGAATCAGGTGGAATCTCACAGCACTTCTCCCGGACTCCTGGGCCGTCTGCACCACGTCCAAGTCAAGGGCCCTGGACTGAGGCACATGCCCACTTCCTGCGTCTTTGCGATAAAATGAGTGTGCGGTTCACACTCACTTCCTGCATCCCTGAGGTGAGGCTGTGGTGGTGAGGCCGTGGTGGTGAGGCCGTGTGGTTGAGGCCGTGGGGGTGAGGCCGTGGGGTGAGGCCATGGGGTTGAGGCTGTGGGGTGAGGCCGGGGGGGTGAGACTGTGGGGGTGAGGCTGTGGGGGTGAGGCTGTGGGGTGAGGCTGGGGGGGTGAGGCCGTGGGGTTGAGGCCATGGGGGTGAGGCCGTGGGGTGAGGCTGGGGGGGGTGAGGCCATGGGGTTGAGGCCATGGGGGTGAGGCTGTGGGGTGAGGCCAGGGGAGTGAGACCATGGGGTGAGGCCGTGGGGTTGAGGCCGTGGGGGTGAGGCCGTGGGGTGAGGCCAGGGGAGTGAGACTGTGGGGGTGAGGCTGTGGGGTGAGGCCGGGGGGGGTGAGACCATGGGGTGAGGCCATGGGGTTGAGGCCGTGGGGTGAGAATGTGGGGTGAGGCCGTGGGGGTGAGGCTGTGGGGTGAGGCTGGGGGGTGAGGCCGTGGGGTGAGGCCATGGGGTTGAGGCCATGGGGGTGAGGCCATGGGGGTGAGGCTGTGGGGTGAAGCCGTGGGGTTGAGGCCATGGGGTGAGGCCGTGGGGTGAGGCTGTGGGGTTGAGGCCATGGGGGTGAGGCTGTGGGGTGAGGCCGGGGGGGTGAGACTGTGGGGGTGAGGCTGTGGGGTGAGGCCGGGGGGGTGAGGCTGTGGGGTGAGGCTGGGGGGGTGAGGCCATGGGGTGAGGCTGTGGGGGTGAGGCCATGGGGTGAGGCCGTGGGGTTGAGGCCGTGGGGGTGAGGCTGGGGAGGGGGTGAGACCATGGGGTTGAGCCATGGGGTTGAGGCCAGAGGGTGAGGCCGTGGGGATGAGGCCGTGGGGTGAGGCCTTGGGGGCGAGGCCGTGGGGTGAGGCCGTGGGGGCGAGGCCGTGGGGTGAGGCCGTGGGGGTGAGGCCGTGGGGTGAGGTCATGGGGTGAGGTCGTGGGGGTGAGGCTGCGGGGTGAGGCCATGGGGTAGTGCATTTTCACTCTCGTGTCCCTTGGGGTAGTCCCCGTCTCCCCTGGGGGTGAGGCTGGGCTGGAGGGTGGCCAGGAGTCCCACGTCCTCTCCACGTGTGGATGCAGCTACCCTGAGGCACCGAAAGTAACTTCCACTCACAGCCTTGTCGCCCCGGCGCTGGGAGGGACCCCGGTACATGACTGGCTGGTAAAGTGGCCAGTTAGTAAATGCATGACTTTGAGCACATTCCTTAACGTCTCCAGATCTGTGTTTTTGTCTGTAAAATAATAGTAATAGTAACTCTACTATTATTTTTGATAGTAGTATTAAATAATTGCTATTATTTATTTTTTAACTCTATTACTATTACTATAATTTGACAGATGAAAACTCTATCTGGGATAGGAACAGTAACTCTTTGCCGGGGTGTTGTGAGGCTTGAAGGGAGGGAAGCTCTGGGACCACAGAGATTTTACCGGTTCTGTTCGCTGCTCCCTCCCCACGTCCTGAGGCAGGGCCTGCGCTTAGCAGGTGCTGGACAATTTGTTGAATGATAATTTATTAATTTGCTTGATATATTTATTATAGCTACTATACCTAAAACTTATTAATGAACAGAAAATATCCCTTGCCTCGGGCATGCGCGTGGCCTGGCCGTGGTCGCACACTTAGCAAATGCTGAGTGCCGTCATTCCTCCTATTACCGTTATTAGCCACTTTCCCGGCGGGCTTGCGGTGAGGATGTGTAAAGCATGCTCATGCTTTCATCCGACAGTGAGAAAATTCTGAGGTCAAGGAGGAAAAGTAGTCACAAATACACATTATTATCGTCAGTCTCAATTCCATATTTCAAAATCCTATTTCCAAGCACATTATGTACTCAGTCATGGAAGGGCGCTTTCCTCTTAGGGGGCACGCTGCCAGTGAGTACCTGACCAGAACCAGCTGACGGATTACGCACTCGGTGACCGCAGCAGTCACCTGATCCCCCAGGACGTCTTAGGTGTGTATTTAGTGGGTGTCAGGCATTTTGCTGGCACAGTTGTTGCTCTCTGGCAGGGGAAAAAATGTTCAGTAGATTCACTCAAGTCTTTCTGCAATCAGATGAGTATCAAGAAGCTTTTAAAAGCGGAGCAGACAGTGGCCTCGTTACCGATCTTCCAACACCTGGAGCTGGCTGCTGCCGCGGGACGTTTGACTTGCTGGGGCTTCTACCCCGTGCTGTCACCTCAGCTGCTGTCTGCGCCCAGCACTCCTCATGGCTGCAGTCTCAGATCACACGCTAGTGCTCAGGGCGCCCGATGGGCTCACTCCACCCAGAGCTGCGCTGTGCTCCTCCTGAGCTGCTGGGGGCTGCACTGCCCTTCTTAGCTCCACCGCACGCATCTGAAACTCTGATCATCTTTTGTTTACTGGTTGGTCTCTCTAGAGAAGAACTCCTCTGTTTTGGGAATCCCAGCAGCACCTGCATCCAGAGTGGGACCTGGTGCACAGTAGATCCCTGATGGCTGTTTAACTTACGGGTGGATCGAATAGGAAGTAAACAACCTGGGGAATCTTTCAATAACATCTCCAGGACTTGAGCTTGGGATTAAATAAAAAGCATTCATCTCAAAGGGATGCTGATCTTCTCTCTTCCAAGGCACTTTTTTGCAGGCCACAGACACAGAAAAATGACCATATTTTCCCCGCACACTGGAGTGAGCTGTAGAAGCTTCCGGCTAACTAGTGGGGCTAGTGGCTGCTTGAGGCCCTGTCCAGCAGGTCGGGGAAGGGAAGGGAAGGACACAGCTTCAGCACACCTGTACCTGTCTCAGCCACTGTGGCCCCAGCTCAAAAACTCTGTGCTTTTCCAGTTCCCTCATTTCCTGGCTTGTAAAACTCACATGCAGACAGGTGGCATCTCTTCGCCAGGCAGAGGGCAATGAAGCTTGTGCACTAATTGCTGTGAATTTTGATTAAAGAATGAGATCTAGGAGGTTCAGGATGGACAAGAAGTAGGTAGAAGCACCTGACAGGGAAGATGCTGGACTCCGGAGCTCCAGTTCCCCACATTGCTGGTGATTTTGAGCCTTATTCCTGCAGCTGATGAACCCTGTCATTGAACTGTCCTCCTGGTTACCATACCCATCACTCCCTGGGCAAATGAGCTAACCACAGACGCCTTATGGAGACAGACGCCTCCTGGAGACACTCTGATCTAATGGGGAGGTGTGCAGATGCACCTGCGGGTTCTGTGGAAGGAGAAGGACACAGGAAGTCATGTCGTGGACATGTCTGCCTTTGCCAGGGCAGGTCACAGGCATTACGGCACCGGTTACATCTCTGGGCAGGGAACAGTTATCAACCCACCACCGAAAACAGAATTTAAGCCACCTGGAGCTGTTATTACAGGTTGTGTAGCCAGGAGGACCACGATAGGTTCAGGGAGGGATGTCCGATGCTGATTTTTAAAATTCTCCTAGCAGTAGGTGCATGGCAGTGGGCCATTGAGATGCGGCTGCCCATGGTCTTCGGTTCTCACGAGTTCACAGTAGCAAAGCTTGCTCTGCAAGGAAGCTCCTATACACATTTGTGAGGTCACACGGGAGGGCATCTGTGGTCAAGTCACGGTAATGAGTCACCTTGGGGATGGGCGACAAATCCACGTGTGGATGCCAGGTCCTCAGTTGTCACAGAGCAGAGCCTTGTAGCCAGTGCTGAGGAAGAAAATTAAGTCTGGACCTTAGTTGTGAGCTCTTCAAGGACAAGGGCCTGTTTCCTCTTCTCACATTTGCCTAGAGCAACTCAGTCAAGATCATCCAGTAAAGGGTCCCCATTCCAGGATCTGCTCCCTGAATTCCAGCAGCAGAAATCCAGCTGTCGTGGGTGGAACTGTGTCTCCCCAAAATACGCGCTGAAGTCCCACTCCCCAGTAGCTCACTTGGAAACAGGGTCTTTGTGGATGCAGTTGGTCAGGCTGGGTCATACCAGAGTAGTTGGGTTCTTAATCCAGTATGACTGTGTCCTTAGAAGAAGAGGAGAGAGGCACACAGAGCAGGAAGATGGTCATGGGACAGCAGACAAACATCGGGGTGATGCTTCCTCCATGAGCGGGGGAAGACCACGGGGCTCCGCCGCACCAGCAGCCGGAGGGAGGCCTCCAGCAGCCTGGCTCAGAGCCTCAGAAGGACCCAGCTCTGTGGGACTTCCAGCCTCAGAATCACGGAGAGTTCATTTCTGTTGTTTAAGCTGTTTCTGTTGTTTGTGTGTCATTTCTGTTGTTTAAGCTGCCCAGTGTGTGGTGCTCGTGACAGTCACCCATAGACACCGGCCAAAAAGTCCTCTAGGGATCAAAGTAAGGATGGGAAAGTGCACGTCACCAAGCCGCGATGGCCCCTCCCAGCCGCCCCTCATTCCTTCGCCTCTACAGAGGGTTCTGGTCACCAGGTTTTCTGGTCTCCAAGGGTGCAGCTCCTTTTAGAAACGGGGAATCTGAGGAGGTCGGTGAGAAGCTGCTCCCACAACAAGCCCATGCACGGGTGACAACCGGGTGGAGACGAGGTTATGGGAAAAGCAGACTTGGGCAATAGGGCCAAAACGGCTCTGTCCCTCGGACACAGACACGAGACACCAGTGGGCTTCTGTGTGGCACTTATCCCCCTTTAACGGATTCATCAGTGGGACCAGGCATGCTGAATGGGCTGCTTTTCACTCTACTTTTAAAGGTTCCCCTTACGACTCCTGTCCTCCTAAATGTGTGTGTATAAGCAGCTGCTGCCACCGTCCCCATCTGCCCTCCTCACTGACCCATGGTGACCCTGACACATGCGAGTCTGATCCTGCTGACTGGGCCACGCAGGTGCTTCCGGAGACATCCATCCACTCTGTCAAGCCCTTCACGTGGCCTCCATGCCCTGCCTTCTGTGGCCCTGCCCTGCCCAGCGGGTGCAGTGCTCACCCCTGCCGTCTTTCTGGCCCCTGCTGCTCTGACCCCAGGGCTGGAACCAGGGCTCTCCCCCAGAGCCTTGTGCCTGATCAGCCTTCAGCCTGATCGTACCCCACCTGCTGCACACCCACACGCATGCACACACCTGACTCACACAACACACGCACGCACACACACATGCACACACCCGACTCAAGCAATGCACACACACACACATGCACACACCCGACTCACACAATGCACACATACACACAAGCACACACACAAGCACACACCTGACTCAATGCACGCACACACACATATGCACACAAATGTGTGCAAGCACACCACGGCACACAAAGACAAACACACGCACCTCACCTGCCAAACACACACCTGCCAAACACACACACACATTCCAAACACACATTCCAAACACACACCCACATACACATAACTGCAAAACACACACACACATCTGCCAAACACACACACATACACACATGCCAAACCCACACCCACAGACACACCTGCCAAACACACACACACACCTGCCAAACACACACACAAACATACACACACAAACACACCAAACACACCCCCCACACACCTGTCAAACACACACACCTGCCAAAAACACACACAAAAACACAAACACATGCCAAACACACAACCACATACACCTGCCAAACACACACATACACACCTGCCAAACACACACACACAAACATAAACATGCCACACCCCCACACACACACCTGCCAAACACACACACCTGCAAAACACACACACGCCAAATACACACCCCACACACATCTGACAAACACACACCTGCCAAACACAAACACACATGCCAAACACACATACCTGCCAAACGCACACATACATAAACACCCACACCTGCTAAACACACAAACACATGTCAAACACACACAGAAACACCTGCCAAACACATGCCAAACACACACACCTGCCAAATGCAGACAAACACACACATCTGCCAAACACACACACACACATATGCCAAAAACACACAAACACACACACAAACACCCACACCTGCCAAACACACACACACACACACACAATGGGCAAACACACACATGCACATGAGCAAGAATGAGTCCACACATGTGCACATGCTCCCCCCACAGATACACAAAGACAGGCATGCACACTTACACACGTGGACACACACTTCGCAGGCCTCCACTGTTACCCTGTTGCCTCCTGTTGATTCTTTGTGATCCCAGGTCAAGGTGCACATCCTCTGGAAAGCCCGTCCTGACCTGAGTTCCTTTGTCACGCAGCTCACAAGACTCTCTTCCTCTAATTCAGGGGCCTCATGTCAGCAGCTTCCAGCATACTCATTGTGGAATTATTCAGTGTTTCGCACTAACTCCATTGGGGTGGGGCTATGTATTGGTAACTATACTATATTTCTGCTTTTCCATCCCTCCAAAGATAGCTATTTTCTGTCTCTTCTTTCTGCTTAGGAGAAATCATAAACGAGCTTGTGAACTGCCTTCCTGACTTACCCTCATACCAACACACACGTGTGTGCAACACACACCTGTACACGCACACACACACTCCTTAGAGTAGCACCTCCAATAGGACATGAAGATTGGACACTGTCTGTATTTTCCCTTAAGTGAAACCTCAGTGCTTGGGCATTCAATATTATCTGAGAGTTTGAATGAGACTAAAATTTGAGAACATTTCGTCACAAATATTCGTAGTTCTGGAGATAAATCTGTACGAAAAGATGATCCTATTCCAATCAAGATTCACTGGGAAAGAACATCTCAACATCATTACTTGTGCAGCCAACAAGTTAATAGGATCAGTCAGTATCTTAAAGAAAAGTTTAGCAAATTCGTTTTGGGAGAGAAAGCCCGTTTGCTTTTCTCATTGCCTCTTCTGGGAAGAATTACCTAATCCCATTTGAGAGTCACAAGGTCAAGATAATTATTATTTTCTGAGAAATCAATAAACTTTGCAATGCACTTATAGTCTTTGCAAGCAATTTAATCACAGGTCATATGCAATGATTCATCTGATTGTTGTGTCCTGCAAACTAGGTGACCTTCCAGGGCCACAAAACCATTAGGACATGCAGATCTGATTATCTTAGTATCAGCAGTAACTCCTGAGCCCTACGTATTCCCATTTTATCACAGTTTCCCTGGAATAGCCACATACTTTTTATAAATACATATTCAAGTAAGAAGAGCATGATGTCATTTATTTTTCAAGTGTATACAGTGAGCTCACATAGTAGGGTAGGCATACAAGTAACTTTGGTTAATAAGCTTGTCATAGCTATACTATAACTGAATTGTTAATTTCCAAGTTGTTAGAATAAAGATACAGTTAGCAACAAAATCTGTCTAAATATAATTTACTGTTTCTTTAATGATTCTGATGTCTCTTCAGAACTTGCCATGCCTCGGAGTTATCAATATGTTTGTCAATATCATCGTACTCTACAAAGGAATGAATGGTCCCTGGTGGATTGAGGTTTCAGCTGATGGATTATTAAATAAACCTTTATTATTATTATTATTGAGACAGAATCTCACTCTGTTGCCCAAGCTGGAGGGCAGTGGCCCAATCTCGGCTCACTGCAGCCTCCACCTCCCAGGCACAACTAATCCTCCCACCTCAGCCTCCCAAGTAGCTAGGACTACAGGTGGGTGCACCACACCTGGCTAATTTTTTGTATTTTTAGTAGAGATGGGGTTTCGCCATATTGCCCAGGCTGGTCTTGAACTCCTGGGTTTAAGTGATCCTCAGCCACCCAAAGTGCTGGGATTACAGGTGTGAGTCATCGCACCTGGCCAAACCTTGTTTTTAATGTAGCTCAAGAGGTGTCATAGAATTAGCCATTAGAAATGGTTTTCTGGGAAGCTGGGTTGTATGTTTTTACTTATTTTCAAGGCCTAAAAATTAAATTTAGAAATAGAGAAGAAGGGCCTGGTGCGGTGGCTCACGCCTGTAATCCCAGCACTTTGGGAGGCCGAGGCGGGCGGATCACGAGGTCAGGAGATCGAGACCATCCTGGCTAACACAGTGAAACCATGTCTCTACTAAAAATACAAAAAATTAGCCGGGTGTGGTGGCACGCACCTCTAGTCCCAGCTGCTTGGGAAGCTGAGGCAGGAGAATCGCCTGAACCCGGGAGGCGGAGGTTGCAGTGAGCCAAGACTGTGCCACTGCACTCCAGCCTGGCGACAGAGCGAGCCTCCGTCTCAAAAAAAGAAAAAAAAGAGGCCACGCGCGGTGGCTCACGCCTGTAATCCCAGCACTTTGGGAGGCCGAGGCGGGTGGATCACGATGTCAGGAGATCGAGACCATTCCTGGCTAACACAGTGAAACCCTGTCTCTACTAAAAATACAAAAAAATTAGCTGGGTGTGGTGGTGGGCGCCTGTAGTCCCAGCTACTCAGGAGGCTGAGGCAGGAGAATGGCGTGAACCTGGGAGGCGGAGCTTTCAGTGAGCCGAGATTGCACCACTGCACTCCAGCCTGGGCGACAGAGCGAGACTCCGTCTCAAAAAAAAAAAAAAAAAAAAAGAAGTAGAGATAAGGATGAAATATAAGGAACATGGTCCTTAGAGGCTGGGAAAGACAGTCCTAGGGTGGAAGGTATCAGAAGATTCCAGAAAGAGGACATGAAATTTATTAGAAATAAAACTACCCTAGGGAAAGCTTAAATTGAAGCAGTCCAAAACAACAATCTGTTCTTAATTGTCCATCTCTAACTGTGATGTTGCCCTGAATTTTTATAAGAAAAGTTATTCAGTGACTCTCAGCAGCTTCATCTACAGCGACTCTAACGAGAGTCACAAGGTTGTCAGACATTGCACCCCGGTGCTACCACATAAAATATCATTTTTAACTGTTAAATTGGTCGCTGCATAAAACAGCATCTTGCCCCCAGTCATTGTTGCCCGGTATTTCTAGGAAGCCCGTTTTCCCCATGGGCCTGATTGGTCACAGGAAGCAAGCCGGATGCTCAACACAGCCTCCCTGTTTTCCGCCTTCTTCTGTGTGAAGTGTGCCACGCTTGCCACTAACAGCACCGCGGTGTGGGGTTTAGGAATCGATTATAGTTTTAATGGGGTGAAATGCATAAGTTGTGCTGCCATCAGCCTCTGGAGGACACGGCGGACCTCATTCCCTCCCGGAGAAGGCCCCTGCATGTAGAATTAGACAGGAGGTCAGCAAGACGCGGGGACTGTCCTCCCTGAGCCTCTGGGGCTGCGTCTGGGCCTCGGGTGGCTGATCCAGTGGTGCCTGAAAGGGCAAGACAATTAAACCTCCCCAAGTTTGTGGAGCATTTGAAGATGAACAGCACATATAAATGCTAAGCATTATCATCTACAAGCAGCCAGGGTAGAAAGGATGAATCCTAAGGAAGGGGCACCTGTAAGTATAAAGCGCCGGGACAGAGAGGAATGAGAAAAACATCTCAGATTGAAGTTTAAACAGTTTTTTTTTAATAAAAAAAAAAGGTGAGAAAGTCATGCTTGGAAATGAAAAGAAGGCCTCATGAAGTAAAGTTACACAATTTAATGCAACTTTATAAAGCCAGAGGTCACCCAGGGAGACAATGAGGATTCTGAAACATGGCAACGATAATTAATTTCTTTTAAAAAATCAATTAATATTTTCTCTGATCCTTCACAAAGCAGGCTGGAGCAGACGAGGGCAATGCATGCATTTCCCAGAGGAAGAGCAAGGGTGGGGAAGGAAGCCAGGAATGTGTCAATACGGGGGACTGGGAAATCAGCACATTCGGCAGCCGACAAACCCGTGGATGGAGGCAATACCCATCCCAGACCCTGCAGGAAACACCAGGGAAGCTGAAATGTGCAGCTTTCAGGAGTCATCAGCAAATGCCTTCCATATGTAGGGCTTACAGAAAAGATAAGGATCATGGGCTCATTTATTTCAACTGGATGAGGCATATTTCCTGGTGGATAGAAATGCATGTCCACATTCTATTGCATAAAGATAGTGTACCCAGAGAAAGAGACACACACACACACACACACACACACACACACACACGTGAGCACATCACCCACAGGCCCGGCAGACACACATGCAGTGACATGTGGGGCCAAGCTCCTGCAGCCTCTGCTCGGAGAAATCTCTTGCTGTAGTTAATAGCATCTCAGGGAAACAGACTAGCCCAGGTTAATAAAAACAAGGGGCAATTGAGATCAGCTCAGAGAATGAAAGGCTTTGCAGTGCTTTATGACACAGACTGTGGCTTAATAAATGTGGTTTTCTCCCTTTGGTTTGTTTTGAAGACATGAAAGATAAAAATAGAAGTAACTACCCTTGGGATCCCCATTCCACAGCATTATAAAATGTTCAACTGGAAATAGCGCCAGGTGCCCAGATGTGGACAGGGGAGAGAGGAGGCGCTGTGGACCTGGAGAGAGAAATGGAGCCTGGAAATGGGTGCTGAGCGCTGCTGGAGGCTGCAAGGGGGTAAGGATAGCAAAGGACCTGTTTAGTCCTAAGAGAAAAGACACCCAGGACAGCGAGGACCTCCGATAATGACAGTCACTCGTCAGGGCCAGCCAACAAAGACAGAGGTGAGACAGTGTCACTCAGAGGGATGAGCCGCAAGTGGGGTAAGTGCTGAATGCAATTAAGCAGAGAAAAAGGGAAGATAATGAGATTAGGGATAAGAAATGGGAAAGGACATGTGGCCAAAATAATGACAGGCGAGTGGTCCCCTTGAATGAGACTCAGAGGTGGGAGATAATGATCAAGCCTCGCACCAGAACCATTGTCCATGTTTAAAGAAGCAGAGTCCAGTTGCACGGGGATCAGTAACTAAAAATGCACCTGAGATCATTCCGGCGCTTTCTCACGAGGCGGCGGTGGCCTGGAGGAGATCCCGTCCAAAACTGTGTGCTTAGCATCAATGGGTCTGTTCCCAAAGGCCTGCCGAGGAAATGAAGGGAGGAGAGACAGAGCGTGTACAGGCAGAGAGCCCTGGCCAAGAGCTTAATTATTGCAGAAGGTCAGGGTCAGGCCGGGAGCCTGTGCTCAGAGGAGGAGGGAAGACAGAGACAGCCTCATCAGGAGAGTGATGAATCTCATATTCATATTTCATTTTCACACGAGGAAGAGGGAAGACCGAGAGCCTCATCAGGAGAGTGATGAACCTCAGATTTGTATTTCATTTGTACACAAATCGTGCCCATTTCAAGATACCGATACTGGACGGAGCTGGGCCTTGCTGAGGGTGTCGGAGAGACCAGAATGCCAATTTTGTCCTATTTGTCTTTGGACACGTGGCCCGTGTGCTTTGTCCTGGTTCTGTCTGCAGGGGCCAGCATCCCAGCGGACTTTCTCCCACAGAGGGAGGGGCTCCAGGCTCCCCCAGCGGGGGCTGGTGTGAGGTCCTGGGCCACCACTGCCCAGGTGGATGCGGACGGAATGCAGGAGGGAGGCACCTCCATGAGGGGCATGGTGGGGTCAGCTGTGCGTGGCCATCCATGGCCTGTTGAGTCCCAGCTGGTTGAGACCCCTCCGTCCTGGCACATCCAGCCCCCCAGGTCTCCGAGGGGCTCTTTTAGACAAGAGCCAGGCCTGGCCCCCCGGCTTCCTTGATGCTTTGGGGCAGTGCAAAGTCAGGTGGCACACACACACACCTTTCTGTGCTTACTAGTCCCGTGGGAACGTTTCATCCTGACACACCTTCACCAACAGGGCTGCTGGGTGGTCACTTCTCTCTAAGATGATGAGGATCTGCGGTGTGTTCGCCGCCAGACCCATTGGCGCCCATCCTCTCAGAATCTTCACACTAAACCATACCTGTGTTTGCTGTGATTGTCATTGTGCTTCCGTCAGCTTTGTCATTATTAGGTCATCACTGGGTTTTTCATAGCTCACTTTTCTCCTTCCCTTTCCCTCCTTACTTTGTGCTTTCTAGACTGTGTAGACCAGAAGGGAAAGTCCACCAGATTCACACTTCCAGTGGCATCAACCCACTGTGAAACACACAGAAGTGCACCAGATTCACATCAACCCGTTGTGAAACACACGCATGGGCTTTCTGGAAAGAGCCATCTTGCAAAATGACATCTCACCCAAAGATCCAGCCCCACGCTTCCCGTGGTGCTTCCGGGATGAGGCCGTGGTGCGCTTCCCTCCCCACACAGCCCCTCTGCTCTGGCCCTGGGAAGAAAACTCGGAACTGGCCATGGTACATTTAAAGAGCTATTCTGTTGATGATGCCAGCAACTTCTGGATATTCCTAGTCTTACATGTTGAGGCATCCAAGGCTACTTGGTGAACCAGGTTCCACCTAAGCTGGCGTGATATCCAAGGGGTCCAAGCCATGGGGAGGCCCTCTCAGTCCCGAGGGCTGAGTCCCTGGTCAGCAGGGTGTGGTCGCAGAAGGGATGGCCTGAGACAGGAGAGGTGGCCAGGGTCCTGGGCTGGGGAGCTGAGATTGAGGGCCAAGGATCAAACTCAGTCATCCTCCATGGCATACCTGTGGTCTGCAAACCATGAAATATGGGTCATAACCCAGGCTTGCAACAGATTGTCCTGGGACTGGGGAGCAGGTGGATGTCAAGAACTGACCCTGACTCCAGGCCCTAAATTAGCACTTTGTTTCTGAAGGCCTTTTCTACATTTCATCCTAGGGCTAATACTGTCTGAGTCTTGGCTGCTGCCAGTCCTGCAGGTGAGGGTAAATCACCTCCCCACTTTCTCTAAACCAAGCCCTGCACCACGTAGATCAGCACTGTGGCCCCATCTCCATCGCTAGACTGCCTTCATTTCCACCATCTCAGAACCTCCAGTGTCCCGGGCTCACCTGTGGGAAAGCTCTGTGCCCTGACATCTGCCTCACAAACCCTGCCTGGACCTCCATCTGCCACTCTTTGGAATGTGGGTGCCACCTGCCACCTGCACGTGTGGTTGGGTCTCTCCCTGAAGTCATGCCCACCCTCCAAGCCTGTGCAAGATGCAAAGCCAAGCACCTGAACTTTGCCTTGTGAGAACCTTCTATGGAATAAGCTAAGCAGGTATAGTCCCTGGGCCTAGAGCCACCCAAAATTAAAAGGAGCCCAGCCTCATGTCTACAGAATCCTCTTGCCCAGGAAATTTCCTCCTCCGGGCCTGCCGGGCCATCCCTTCCCCTTGTTTCTACACATAAAAGCCATCCCCACATCCATGCACACCCGGGATTTTCCCTTTGGAAAAGTTGTAGGGGCACAATTCCAGTGAAAATGTGTGTCCAATCCAGTTGTCCACATGAGCCTAAGCAAGTGAGCCCAAGGCTTCGGCTCGCTGGGCCAGTGAGACCTTGGGTGGAAAAACCTGGGTTCTCACTCATTCAAGAAAACCAGACTGACTTGACTTGCAATGCCCAAGATTACTCTAGAATAACCTGGGCACTTGCCTTTGCAATGTGGCCCAATTTTGAATGCAGCTATTTATTCTGCAGTCATTCTGAGCCTGGAATGGTTACATTTTGGTGTTAAAACTGCTAGCGATTTCAACTCTCCCGACTATCATTTTCGAGCCTGAGACAAGTTGCTGATTGACATGTGGATATGGGAAAAAAACATATTTGGAGATGGAACAACTCTAACAGAATACCCATGACGGAAAAAACATTACTCTTAATGAGACAGCGCTTACAGAGCCATGTCAGAGAAGGGGGAGGCGGAACGCTAAGCAGTGTTCCAACCCACATCACCGCAGAAGAAGGCAGCAAACTTTCCATGAACCATGGAACTTTCAAGTGACTAGAGCCTCAACGTTCAACAACATCGTTCAAAGGGGAGGGACCAGGCAGCTGGGGAGAAATTCAAATGCTTCCTCCACATGGAGACAAGTGTCCTTGGGTTTGGAGACCCCTGATGCTGCAGGAGCAAATCTCCAGAGACCACAACTCCGGCAGAAGGTAACATTTCAGTCGGAGTTCAGGTGCCTGCGGGAGCTGGAAGGCATTGAGGCCAGAATGTGTGTCTGCCTGCGTGTTCATGTGTGTGCACATGTGTGTGCACCATGAGGCAACATCGCTGAAAAAACACATAAAGTGAGTGAGGCCATGCACGGCAGCCATCGGTCCCTATTTCCCGGATGTTTTCCTCCCTGATGGGCTGTGCAATGTGTCTTTTGATGAGAGGGAGAGCCCAGAGTTGTGTGATTGATGTAACCATCATCACTTGGCTTTCTTGCTACCAAATATTTGATGGTTTCTCTTCCAAAACAAGTTGGGCAACATGAATTCCACAGATGCTATTCATAACAGATAATTAAACCTCAACAGAGAGACAGAATGGCATTTCAAAACAATCACAGCCATGCCTGAAAGATAAAACCTTTTTCAGTTTCATAGTGTGATTAAAAGAAATTTTATAGACTAACACTTGGTCAGAAGGCAACACGGAAAGATGTGTAGCAAATTAGTGAAGGCTTGAGTCCTACAGGCCGCACAGGTACTTGTTTTAAATCCCAGAATTCAGTAACTTACATCCTACAACCCATCCATTTCCTCACACCTGGCTTCACTCCCTCACTCACCCAGATGACCACGGGACACCAGGCATCCTGAGGAACTCGTGGGGGACAATGCTTGCCCCCAGGGAGCACCCAGTCACCCCGTGCTTCCTGCATACCTGCTAAGGATGCAACATGGTCAAATCTGATCATTTTCATGAAAGGAAGAGAAGAAAATGTATTTAGAAGAAACCAGGATATTAACACATCAAAACAATATCGTCAATTCTTTATTTAAAGCATGAAAAAAAAAAGACGGAAGTCCCCCATCCGCATATCAGTGCAAGCGACTTTCTAAAGTTTTCCTTTCTAGCTCAATAGGAAGTCAGACAATCTGAACAGACACTGACAAAAAGGGCTTTGAAAGAAATCCTAGAGGGCTCCGACTTGCTGCTGTAAGGCACCATTTGCTGCTGTAAAATGTTGATGTGTTAAATGATTCCAGGAGGCAGTTGATGGCTTCCACTAATGCGTCCAGCTGCTCCCAAAACAGAGCTATGCATTGGGAAACATTTACCTAATAAATACAAGGCAAGACAACCAGCATTTGTTCCTTTGAATTTGAAGTTCAATTTGACATGACCAGAGACTCTGCTGGTGTGCAGGCCCACAGCAGGCTTCAGTGTCCCTCCCTCAGGCTGCCCCACCTGTGCACACTCAGTCAGCAGCAGAATCCAAACTCTCTCCCCATTCGTCATTCATTCATTCCACAAACATGGGTGGAGCCCCTACTATGTGGTAGGGCCTGTTTTAAGCACCGGGATCCCATCAGTGTACAAGACAAAGGATCCATCCCTCCTGCACCCTGTACTCTGACTGCTGGGGTGGTGACCAGCGGTAACCAGGCACACAGTGAGCAGAGCATCCTGCAGCTCACCGCAGGTGGAGGGACCTCAGGGAGACAGGGCAGCAGGGATGGTGAAGACTTCACGTGGAGTGGCCAAGGGAGGCCTCGTGTGGGTGAACTGAGTTCCTATGTGGGATGCTACGAAGATCCTTCTTTGTTTAGGTCCATAAGTGTTTGTGGGATGAATGAATGACACTAACCCCAGGTTCACATCTGTGAGTGGAGTGGCCCAGAACATCTTCCCAGACTAGGAAGCCGACGGAGCACCTCTCCCCCATTTTCTTTGGGAAGAATGAATTGACTCCCTGCCATACATCACCCAGGAGGCCAGCAAAATTACTGATGGAGTCCACTTCATCCAGCACACCCCACGAGGCCACCATGTGCATCCGTCCTGCGCTGGCCCCGAGTCAAGGGGACCTGGACACCCCTACCCTGGTCACTCTCCCGGCTCCCTCTTTGTGTGAGTTGTGACTGTCCTTGTCTCCCACCCTCATGAGCCTTTTCTCATGAAATTTCATAACCAGATGATAGGAAATTCTTGCAGATCTCCTCACATGGGTCCTAGTCCTTCTCAGTTAAAGGTGGTGAACAGTGTGCCAGGCCATCTTCCTAATCCTACAGTCCCTCCACTTCTTCCCCCAGAACACCTGCTCACCTGGCTATGTCACCTCCCCAAAGCCCCTGGGGCTGTGGCGTCTCCTTGCTTGGGAGATGGAGCAAGAGACATGCTTAGGAGGTCATGCCTCACCGTGTGGCCCCCAGCAGGGCTCACGTCCACTCCCCTAGGTGAAGATGGTCTGCTTTGTGAGTTGTTTCTTCCTTCTCTCCACGTGTCCTGGAGTGTGGGCATTCCAGGACACACAGCGGGTGTCACTTGTACATCTGTTGTCTCTCTTCCCTGAGAGCTCAGTCATGCTGAAACTCTGAAACACCCCCAACACCTGATGGTGTGCACTCCAGAGAGCAGACACTCAGTAAATACGCAGCTGGAAGATTTGGCAGCACCAAATGGGCACATGCACATGGCAAGGAACAAATTCGGAAAGATTTTAAGAACTACAAGATAATTGATTTAGATCTAACAGCGATCCCAGCCCTTGGCCTCTCAGGCACAGCCCTGGTAGATTCTTAGGCTCTCCTTAGTTCACTTTCCTGTGCCTCACGGCAGCCCGTAGTGTATCAGCTACACAGCACTCAACTGTTTCTGCCAAGGCAATAGTACATTAAGTTGCCTTTGAAATCTTTATCCTGCTACTATCTGCATGCATTACCATATTTTATGATTTAAATCTAATTATCAGGGCTTTCCAAGACATGTAACGGAAAGTGATCCTGGTTGAGCGCTTTAACAAAGCCAGAATAAAGGCAGAAAAATAGCCAGATTTGATGAAAAGCTATCACATAGCAGATATTTAAACTGATGAGAGATCAGAAATTTAAAGGCATGGAGAAGCTCGCCCTGTCACCACCCACAGGAAGCTCCTGGAGAAGCTGGCCCTGTCACTACCCATGGGAAGGTCCTGGAGAAGCTGACCCTGTTACTGCCCATGGGAAGGTCCTGGAGAAGCCAGCCCTGTCACTGCCCATGGGAAGGTCCTGGAGAAGCCGGCCCTGTCACTGCCCATGGGAAGGTCCTGGAGAAGCCGGCCCTGTCACTGCCCATGGGAAGGTCCTGGAGAAGCCGGCCCTGTCACCGCCCATGGGAAGCTCCAGCTTCCACCCTGTGCTGTCCCTGCTGGATGCTGATTGGTTGACGAGGGGATCACAATTGTATGTGGTCATTTTCTCTAAGAGGCTGCAGCAATGCGTTCTGAACATAGGGCGCTTCTTTACTTTAGGAGGTTTCTTAAATGGAAACATTACAGAGATACATTCACAAAGCATTGATGAAATGTTCTTCTAAGTGACCAAAGGAGTCAGTTGGCTCTGAGCCAACCTGGCTTGTATCACTGAACTTAAGTCAGTGTATTCTTTCCAGGGGCCACCATAACAAAGTGCCACAATCAGGGTAGCTCAAAACAACACAAATGTATTGTCTCAGGGTTCTGGAGGCCAGAAGTCCAAGATGCAGGTGTTGGCAGGGCTGGGTCCTGGGAGGGCCGTGAGGGAGCGTCTGTTTCTGCCTCTTCCCCGGCTCCTGATGGCCCCAGATGTCTCTCCACTTGCAGGTGGCTGTCCTCTCCCTCATCTCCACAGCTTTCCTTCGTGGATGTCTGTGCCCCAGTTCCTCTCTGCGTGAGAATAGCAGTCCTATCGGATCAGGGCCACCCTAGTGGCCTCAACTTGACCTGATTATCTGTAAAGACCTTATTTCCAAACAAGGCCACAGTCACAGGCACTGGGAGTTAGAACTTTGGCTTTTTTTAAAGAGGGAAACAATTCAACCTGTACCCGTCAATTCACTTCACATGGTTGGCTGCACCGGCCAAGTTTCAACCCAGAAGTCCATTAAGACGGTTGTTATAAAAGATTCAACAAAATCCCTTTGTAGGGAATTTTGACGAGACAGAAATGGCTTCTCATATATTCCTAACTTGAAATTATCTTATGAGGAGGAAGAGCAATCGACTGCCATGTGATAGCGTTTAGGAAACAAAAGAAAGGACTTTGCCATTTTACCGTGAAATGAGGAGGAAATGTGGTTTCCAGAGAGTGGGTTCTTTCAGTTAGCAAACGCTCCAAGGTTAAAACATGAAAGTATAAAGTACAGACAATTATGTAGCATTAGGGGAACAAGTCCACAAAACCTTCCTCCAAAAGCTAGTGAAGAACATGACTAGTTTCCCACGAGGGAACATGGAGGGTTGTAGAGTCCAAGGTCATCTGCAGGGCATGACTTCAAGGCAGAGCCCTGGATCACAGGGCGTGGGCACAGCCTGGAAGCCCCAGCTTGGCCAATTCAGAAGGAGGCTCCCCAGTCTGTAAAACCTTCCTCCAAAAGCTAGTGAAGAACACGACTAGCTTTCCATGAGGGAATATGGAGGGCTGCAGAGTCCAAGGTCATCTGCAAGGTGTGACATCATGGCAGAGGCTTGGATCGCAGGGCATGGGCGCAACCTGACAAGTCCCAGCTTGGCCAACTCAGAATGAGGTTCCCTTCCTTCCCAGCACAGTGTGAGCCCCTAGATCCTGCCAGTGCTGCTGCATGGGCTGCCCTCATATGCCCTCGACTCACAGAGGAGGACATTGGTCAAACGGGGGTCTGTACCACCACACTGCAGCTGGGGATACCCGCCTGCCAGCCACATCACCTGGAATCCACCAAAACCATGGGTCTGAAATGCTTTGTAAACCATAAAGAACTATGAAGTAGAATTTGCCTAGAGCCCGGCCTTCTCACCTGAGAGAACTAAACTGTGAATTTCCATGAGTGCATACAGTACGCAGAAAGACATTGCTGTGTGTAATGTTAACCGCTAATCTGTTGCTGGAAACACATCCACATCACAGGAAGAATATTTGATGATTGAATTCCCATACATAAAACACTAAAAAAGCTTTGGTCAGTGACATCCCTGAATACAATCTTCCTTGGCTCCACATTGCCTAGAACCAAGCCCACACTAGGGCCTCCCATGACCCCCGACCTAGCTCCACCATTATTTGCATCTTCAGCACCTGGCAGGGAGAGCTCTTTAATTGTTTGCTGAAAGGTGCACCCCGAGGTGGGGCATGGAGGCTGCATCTGTGATGCCCTGATGTCCCAGGAGGCTACCCACTCACTCCATAGCAATTTCTGCTTGCCAAAGTCTTGTTTGGTTTCTCAGGCCCAACCCAGCCCAGCCAGGAGCACTCCCTCTATGAAGCCACGTGGAATCCCTCCCTGGCCCTCTAACACATTTGCAGCCGCTCTGCCAGTTACTCGGCATATTTCATCCTGACTCAGCCATGGCTTCCTGTGAGGCTCGATTCAGATGACCTGCCGTCTGCTTGAGGACGGGGGCTGTCTTCTTCATTCTGTTCCCCCCCGGCCCAGCACAGCATCTGGCCTCTTGGCCAACCCTACATGCATGTGGACGGTGTGGGAATCCAGGTACCCAGGTTCTGAGCAGGTCCTAAGTGACACCAGGCTGGGGTTGCCAGGCCTGGGTCGCTCTCCCTCTTCAAAGGGCACACCCACCGCCCCTGCACCCTAAGGCCTGAAAGGCAGCCTTCTGGGGTGCCCAGTGGGGAGGAGGGAGCCAGTGTTCTGCTTTTAGTTTGTTCCCTGAAGAACATAACTGTGAAGTCAGCAAGGGCACACTCCCCCACCCCCAGGTTCTGTTTTTAGCCTCATGCCTGCAGGGATCTTGGATACCATGGTGATAGGAGCCATAGAAATAGAGACAGGAGATCAGTTGCCAAAAAGGCCCTGTGTTCTGTGCTCAATGCATGGCGGGAGGGGCCCCCGCAGGAGGCTGCAAAGTGTTCTCCAGTTATTTGCCATTTGCTCTCAGATGAATCTGAACAGAGAGCAAAGTGAGGTGGGAGCAGAGCCTAAGCTAGCCCACAGGTCAGACAGGCTGTCCTGCAGCTCTCAGGCCTCCTAAGAAGGCAGCGCAAAGGTTGAAGATGGCAATTGCTGCTGATGAATTCATTGCCCTTAACCTCCAGAAAGGCCTCGAGGGTCTTTCCCTGGAAGCCAGTGTGGGCTGCAGGGTGGTGACGAGACTCAGGGTGGAGGGGTGGACAGGCTCTCAGGAAGGCAGGTGTTTATGTAAAGGAAGTAGTTGCAGATGCTCTGGGGGTGTCGGTGGTGTCTGCAAACATGCTCGTGCTCTGTGACAAAGGCCTCTAGCAATCACCATCCCAAAAGGCCAAGCTGTGAGATGACAGACTGTCAATGCGCTAGCAGCTTCCTCCTCGGGGCTGCTTCCCCAGCCCTCAGGCAGACAGTGACACCTGAACCCACAAGGGTGATTCCAAGACCACACGAGGGTCAACGTCAAAGAACCAGACTCAGCTCCTCCCACATAACCCACTTTGATTGCACACTTCTGCTGTACCCTAGTTGGAAATTGGACTTCCAAATTTCAAAACCTGAGGAAGAAAGTTGCAGTCAATATTATAAATATTAATAACTATTCCTGGTATTGGCGTGGTTGTTTTGAGAGCTGACTGCTTTGCTGGAGGTATCTGGAACCCTCACAGGAAGCATGCACGGTGGGTAGCCTGGGCTTCTCTCTGCAGATGGAGACATGAGGAGGGCTTAGATACCTTGCTGGTATCCAGAGCCTGGAGGGCCTCCCCAGAGGGAGTGTGTGCGAGCGGCCACAAGAGCACTAAGCCAGGGTCTGGCTGCTCTGACACCTGGTGCCTTTCACCACAGGACAGTCCCATTTCAGGTCCTCTGCTGGGTGAACAGTTGGCTTGAGTCCCAGGTAAAACGGTCAAGGTGTCACGAGCCGAGCAATGTCTCTGGAGCCAGGGGGACCAGGGCCTCCACCTGCTAGAGCCTAGCCCCCACCCAGGCGGGGTTCAGTGGCTGCGCTGCTGAGACCCAGACAAGCCTGTACCGCAGACCTCCACCGAGAGTCCAGAAAGCCCCTCCTGTGATTCTGGGGAGTTCAACCCAGTTGTGCTCCAATTCCCAGGGCACTGATTGACAGGGAGGGTAGGGGTAGAAGAGGCAGAATGTGTTTTTCTTAAATGACTCTTCACTTAAAATTTTCTTTTAGAACAAATAATTCCAGTGGGTACAGTTGAAATAATCCTTGTATAATAAATGCAGTAATTTAGGGACAATGGCCTGGGGTTTTATAAGGTTACAGGCCCCCAGTGGCGTGGGCTTCCACGCTACTTGTGGGAGGCACTTTGTTGTACATTCAAACCTGATTATCACATTTATTAACACAATCAAATGCTGTACTTGGACACAACCCACTTTTACCTCCTTTTAAAAACCCCATGAATAGAAATACAAATCTGGTCAATTATCACCCAGGGAGCGACTCCAGCTTTATAGATTGGTAATGCAATTGCTTTCAGTCATCGAGCAATGTGACAGATAGCAATGATAGATTAAACAGTTCAACTATAGGCTGCATATTATAATGGCATTTCACTTAATCTTTACATCAATATCTACTCTTCTGGATTTCCTTCCAGCAGTTAGGACCATCAGCTCAGCCAGACAAGTAATGGGCAGACATGGGTGCCACACATTCAGGAGGGCCAGGAAGGGAACTGATCTTGTCCTCCCTGTTGGCTCTGGCCCCATGTCCCTCACAGGAGGCCCAACTGTATCCCTGACCTTATTCTAGCCCTGGAGTTCCCATGCCTGCATTGACTCTGTAATGGTATCATGTAGCTGGAGTCCAAACACATGGGTGGCCTTATTTGGGAAAATAATGTCTTTGAGCCTCAGTATCTTTGTCTACAGAATGGTGCCTGATCCACCTCAGAGGTGTGCCTGTGGGAACCCTCCAGGTAGATTAACACATGGACTGGAGAGAACAGTTATCAATGGAGCAATAAATAAAGTGACACACCAGGAGGATCAACTGCTGTGTCACCCAAAGAACCAGTTCCGGTTCCAGCTAAACATTTTTTGATCAGTGATTAGATAATGCAATAATGCAGACGGATATTAACCCTAGAAAGAACAATCTGCAGGTTGTCAGCGACCTGCATTCTCCCCAGTCTGTAAGCCAGATGTCTATTGGCTGTACTGTCCAGCGGAAGGTGGATCCCAATCGAAAGGCCGACTGTGCTGTGATTCTAGTGTCTGACTGCCTCTGAAGGTTAGGAGACCTCTGGAATTGAAGATAAAAGTGGCACATTTGGTAAATTCTAGAAGTGTTCTAGTGCAGCAGAATACCAGTCCAATTTTATTGTAATAACTGCATCACATATGCTGTGACTCCATTCTTTTTAAAACTGACAAAGCCTTTCTAGAAGACAGGGTTCTGTTGCAAGGTACACAGCAAAAGGGGAACAGGTGGACATGGGAGGGTACCAAAAGGTCTCACTGGGGGCTCCAAAGGAACCCAGGCTCACACAGGAGGGCTCCAGAGAACACCGCACTATGAGAAAAGATGCCTGGAAGGAAGCAGGAAGGAAAGAGGGGAGGGGAAGGCAGTGAGGTGAGCTTTGGTCTCTCATCTTGTAGATACACATGCCTGGAGCTCTCCCTGACCATGGGGTTGGAGGAGAAGATGGAAGTCAACAGAGCTGTGCCTGCCCCTCCTGGGCCTGTGAGTGATGAGGAAGATGTTGCTTCATTTGCCCTGGGCCTCCATCTGCCCAGGAGAGAGCGTGGTCAAGGCAGGTCCTCTGCAGATGCTCTTTTGAACAAAGCGACTGTTGGAGGAGCTATAAAGAACATTCTCCTGTCAGTGAAAAGCTTACAATTGAAATGGGTAAGAAGAGATATTTTTCCTAAGAAGAATAAATTCTCTTCCACCTGGGGTAATTGAAGTGATATGGTATCTGCAGACTGAAGAAGATGTAGCATGACCTCCTAGGGTTCCTTCCAACCCAAGATTCTATCACATTTTTATATATTTTCCATACCAAAAGCAATAATCCATGTCTGAGGCAACTCTTAGGATATCTTAGAAAAAAATCTGAGCAAAATAACCTGAGAATCTTCTCTATCCTATGTTTTCCTTCTTTTCTATTTTTAATAAGAGATGAAGTGCAATCACCCAAGAAAAAGCCCTGTGGTGGCAAGATATGGGTGTCTTATTTTGAGAAGGCATGCCCAATAGCCAGCAGCATCAAGATATTTTTTTAAATTGCGGTAAAATACACATAACAACATTCACCATCTGACCCACGTTTAAGTGCACAGGCAGAGGCATTAAGCACACTCAGATTGTTGTGTTGCCATCACCACCACCATCTCCAGAACTTTCTCATCTTCCCAACCTGAAACTCTGTCCCCGTTCAACATTCACTCCCCATTCCCTCCCCCAGCCCCGGGCAGCCCCCCGGCTACTCTCCATCGCTATGAATTTGCCGACTCTAGGTCTGTCATGTAAGTGAAATCATGCAGTTTCTGTCCTTTCATCGCTGGCTTATTTCATGTCATGTAACATCCTCCGGGTTCCTCCATGCTGTCGCGTGTGTCCGAATCTCCTGCCATTGCACGGACATTTCACCGTTAGTTTATCTGTTCATTTGGGTTGTTTCTATATTTTGGCGATTCTGAATAGTGCTCCCAGGAACAAATATTAGCCTGAGATCCTGCTTTTATGTGTTTTGGACACGGACTCAGTACGGGAATTTCTGGGTCGTGTGCTAATTCTATGCTTTTTCTTTTTCTTTTTTTTTCTCACTCTGTCACCCAGGCTGGAGCGCAGTGGCGCGACCTCAGCTCACTGCAACCTACGTGTCCCAGGTTCAAGCAATTCCCCTGGGTCAGCCTCCTGAGTCACTGGGACTACAGGCGTGTGCCACTACGCCTGGCTAATTTTTTGTATTTTTAGTAGAGACAGGGTTTCATCCTGTTAGCCAGGATGGTCTCCATCTCCTGACCTCGTGATCTGCCCACTTCAGCCTCTCAAAGTGTTGGGATTACAGGCGTGAGCCACTGCGCCTGGCCTACGCTTGATTTTCTAGGGAGCCGCCATACTGCCTTCCATAACAATGGCACCATTTTATATCCCCACTGACAGTGCACAGGGGTCCTGTTTCTCCCTATGCTCCCAACACTTGTTATTTTCTTTTGAGGCAGAATAGGGTCTGGAGGCAGGGAACCTAAGGCCGATTCACACTGACTTCCTAGAACAGAATCAAAAGAAAAACTGCACCTCTCCAAACCCAAAGTGGCCAAAGGATCAGAGGCTACTCCCTTTGCAACACCCCCCACCCTTTTTCTGCATTGCAGATGAAAAATGAAAGTACCTCTGATTGGTCCCCTCCTGAAACTGATCAGACTGGTCACAGGCCAAGTCTTCATGTGTAACTTTGTAACTCCACTTCAGCCTCTGATTGGTCACCTTCTGCAGCCAATCAGACAGGTTGTGGGCCACTACCTCATTTGCATAGGGTGTAAACCAAGTAACCAACGGGAAACTTCTAGAGGGTATTTAAATCCCAGAAAATTCTGTAACTGGTGCTCTTAAGCTGCTTGCTAGAGCCTGTTCCCACTCTGTGGAGTGTACTTTCATTTCAATAAATATATGCTGTTGCTTTGTTGCTTTGTGTGTTTTGTCCAATTCTTTGTTCAAAACACCAAGAACCTGGACACCCTCCATTGGTAACACTTTGTTTTGTTTCGTTTTATAATTGCCATCCCTGCAGGTGTGAGGTGGCATCTCATGGGGCTCTGGTCTGCACTTCCCCAGGGCGGGGTGCTGTAGGGTAACTTGTCCTGTGCTTACTGGCCATTTATGTATCTTCTTCGGATAAATGTCTGTTCACATGCTGTGCCCCTTCTGTAGTTGAGTTGTGTTTTGTTGTTGAGTTGTATTTCTTTACATATTCTGGATATTAACCCCAATCAGGTATATGATTTGCACATATTTCCTCCCCTCCCTGGGTTGCCTCTGTTGACTCTGTCTTACTGTGTTTGTTGTGTCCTTGATGCATAGCAGGTTTTGATTTTGATGAAGTCTCACTTATCTATTCTGCAGCTGTTGCCTATGAATAATGGCATTTTAAGAGCAGGAGTCTGGGTGCAGTGGCTCATGCCTGTAATCCCAACACTTTGGGAGGCTGAGGTGCAGGGATGGCTTGAGTGCAGGAGTTTGAGACCAGCTTGGGCAACATGGCAAGACGCCATCTCTACAAACAATTTTTCAAAAATTAGCCAGGTGTGGTGGCACCTGCCTGTGGTCCCAGCTACTTGGGAGGCTGAGGCAAGAGGATCATGTGATCTTGGGAGGTCAGGGCTGCCATGAGCCATGATCACACCATTGCACTCCAGCTTGGATGACAGAGTGAGACCCTGTCTCCAAAAAAAAAAAAAAAATAGTGACATGTGGTTGCTTCTCTCCCAGAAGGTGCACTGAGCGGGCCCTCCTGTGACTGCTGTGGGCTCTGAGACACCCTGGACATCTTCCTATGTCCTGAACACCCTGTGAACCATGCTGGCAGCAGCACCAGACCCTGCTTCCTCTCAGAGCTAGCAAAGCCCCTGAGTGCCCTGTTCACAGGATGGCCCAGGAGGGGGCCAGGGCAGGACACAAAGACCAACGTCTGGGCAGGCAGCAGCCGTTCTCCTGCTGCTCCCAAGCATTTGCTCTGCCAGTGACTTACTGTTACTAACAACCGTATGACCTTGAGAAGCTCACACCACCTTCCGCAACAGCTGCCCCCATAGGAGCTTCATAAGGTAGATGTGAGGAACCATTCCCCCTCTCTGAGCCAGATTTCCAGCCTATGCAATGCAGGGGTTAGGGACTGCCTAACTCAAGGGTGTCTTAAAATCCAAAGACGTTATTTCTGTGACTGCATTTGGCAAACTAAGCTGTAAGCACTGTTTTTAGGGAAGACGTTAAATAAGGCGACCAGGGACTGTTCCCAAACCTGTCACCTCCAGGGGCCATGTTCTTTCCCACCACAGCTCCAACAATGGGGACATCTGAATGGTAGGATGTAGGAGAAGTCCTCATGGCGTTTATTTTGTCACTATTGGATTATTTCTTGGAACTTAACTTGTTCTGGAAAAATGCCACATTAGTTAAAGCAATGCATATATTCAGTACTTGGCTCGGGTACTATAAAAGGTAACAACAGGCTGGGAGCGGTGGCTCACGCCTGTAATCACAGCACTTTGGGAGGCCGAGGTGGGCAGATCACAAGATCAGGAGTTCGAGACCAGTCTGGCCAACATAGTGAAACCCTGTCTCTACTAAAAATACAAAAAATTACAGGTGGCAGGCACCTGTAATCCCAGCTACTCAGGAGGCTGAGGCAGGAGAATCAGGTGAACCTGGGAGGCAGAGGTTGCAGTGAACCGAGATCACACCATTGCACTCCAGCCTGAGCAACAGTGAGAGACTCCATCTCAAAAAAAAAAAAAAAAAAAAAAAGTTACAACAACAATAATAAAAGAAATACAAAATAACAGCAGATTTCTTGTCCGCTGGAATCATCCTACCAAAGCTAAACAAGCCCTCTATACATGTGCACGGGGATGTGGATGAAGCACATGTGAAAATGCAAAGAGGTAAACACCACATCAGCACTGGTGCAAGCAAAGCCATGTAGTCGATTTGATTTGAGGGGTTTGTGCATTTTGCGGCAATGAGAGGAGGAAATTTCTAGGTCCCACATGCTTAGATGGAAAGCTACCCAATTATACCATTAACTCATCAATTTCCTGGCATTAAAATCTAATGAAAATATAACAGCAAAAGAACACTATAGGCCAAACTGGATTATGGACATAGACCTGACAATTGTAAATGAAACACCATTGAATTAAATTCCAGTATAGCAAAGGCCACATAGGATTGTCCTGGTATATAAATTAGTCAACACGAAGATGAGTGAGTGCCACACAGCACACAAGTAGACCAGAAGAGCAGAGCTATGATCATCTCAGAACATGACATCCTTTGCCCTCCCCTGTATGATTAGAACTTAATCCCCATTCGACTAAAGGCAGCCTTCTCCCAGAAGGGATGGGATGCCTCAACAGTCATGGCTCGCTTGCACCTTCCAAACGCTTTTGGTCCATCTGCTCGCTCCCTTCTCTCACTCCCAAACTACTTCATTTAGATCTTGGGTCACATATGAGCAGTGTTTGTGGATCCCAACAGATCGCAAGTCATTAGCAGAAGAGACGACACTGCAGTCATCGTTGAATAGCCTCGTCTTGTCTCAGAGCCTTGTACGTCCATGTGTGCTTGGTGAGGTTGGCTGAATGGGTAAGTGAGGAGATGAAGTGGGTTAGTACACATTATGCTCTTTTTATTGGAGGGTCACAATATTCTCAGAGGCTGACTTTATGCTCACAATTTTGAAATCAAGTAGATCACCAAGTTCCATTGAAAAAAACATTAAGGGAAATATCAAGGGTCAGTGAATGGAGGTCAGTTTTCCCTAGACTGTTCTATCAAGTAGGAGATCAGAACACTATAATCTACTTATTTTCCCATTTTAGTGAATACCCAAAAATATTGTAGTAGTAGGAGAAGAGAGTTAATGAAAGGATACAAATACGGTTTTCTTGGTGCTACGAATCGTGAGCACAGCCACACGAGATGTAGAAGGTGAGGTCCCACTGGGCATCTCTGGGAGGGTGTGGCAGGGCCAGATCAGGAAAGGCCAAGAGCACTGCCAAGCCCATCCTGGCCCTCCCACAAAGATTCACCAGGACTGTCCCCGGGGTTTGGCTGGGAAATGAGAGAGCTGAATACACACAAGAACCATGAGATACCCACAAGAAGAGCCATGCAGAGGCTCCCTGGTGTGGCTGACTCTATGCCGGGGGCTCCCACACTTTGAGGGGTCTTCAGGCAGGGAGTATTTAGCCTCTGAGAAATATCAGGCCATCCTAGCAAGGTGTGTCAGACACTGTCCCAGCCCCTGTGGGCAAATCTGTCCTCTGTTATTTGGGTGGATACAGTGGGGGCTGGGTCAGGAGAGAAAATGGAAGGAAGAAGGATGAAACGATAGTGCCGCTGTCTTCCTGCGTTCCACACAGAGCATCTGCAGTGCTCAGGATTGCCTGGTGCGTCGTGTGGAGCTCGCCAACTCGTAGTGATGGTTTCCTGCTTACAAAGTAATCAGGAAAGAAGTGGGATTTCATTGCGCAGGTTGAGGTCGTGCCTACCTTCTCAGCTCCTCTCTCTCTTTCCATCCTAGTTGTCCACAGACTCATTAACTGAAAATATTGAGCTTCTGTTCCAGGCCCTGTCCAGGTTGGTGGGCTGGGCTCCTGCCCTCGTGGCACTGCAGGGAAATCCTTGGGCTAAGGTCAGGAGAGCATATTGGATGACACTAACTTAAAACTTATAAACTGAGCTAGTGCCTTTTATTAAAAAATGAAGAGATAAACAATTCTAGAAAATAATAAAATGTGGTTTTTGTGCATTTCATTCAGCTCCTCTAGAGCCTTATATTTAAAGTGTGGCCCAGGGAGAAGCAGCAGCAGCAGCACCCAGGAGCTTGTGTGGAGTGCAGGATCCAGGCCCCCTCAATCACCTAGGAGCTTGTATGGAGTGCGGGATCCAGGCCCCCTCAATCACCCAGGAGCTTGTATGGAGTGCGGGATCCAGGCCCCATCAATCACCCAGGAGCTTGTATGGAGTGCGGGATCCAGGCCCCATCAATCACCCAGGAGCTTGTATGGAGTGCGGGATCCAGGCCCCCTCAATCACCCAGGAGCTTGTATGGAGTGCGGGATCCAGGCCCCCTCAATCACCCAGGAGCTTGTATGGAGTGCGGGATCCAGGCCCCCTCAATCACCCAGGAGCTTGTATGGAGTGCGGGATCCAGGCCCCCTCAATCACCCAGGAGCTTGTATGGAGTGCGGGATCCAGGCCCCCTCAATCACCCAGGAGCTTGTATGGAGTGCGGGATCCAGGCCCCCTCAATCACCCAGGAGCTTGTATGGAGTGCGGGATCCAGGCCCCCTCAATCACCCAGGAGCTTGTATGGAGTGCGGGATCCAGGCCCCCTCAATCACCCAGGAGCTTGTATGGAATGCGGGATCCAGGCCCCATCAATCACCCAGGAGCTTGTATAGAGTGCAGGATCCAGACCTGCTCAATCAGCCTGCAGTTCAACAGACTCCAGAGTGAACAGGACACACGTCGGAGTTCCAGAAGCTCTGTTCTAGAACACAACATGAGGTTTCACAGATTCCTTCAGGGGGTGCAAGACCATGAAGACAATCTGGAGAAAACACAAACTGTCCTTGTTCCTGATCAGACATGCACAAAGGAGCAGAACTAGAGAAGCTACTCCTGGGGAGGGGCAGGGTAAAGCTCTCCATCCACAACTGCTACTGGGGGGAGTGTCAGGAGCCCTGAGAGGCCAAACCCAGGGAGATGGGTCACCAGGAAAGAGCGTAATCACAGCAGAAACCACCTCCACCCTACCACTCACAGCTTCCAGTTACAAACAACAGTGCAATACTGAGAACCCTGCTTGGAGGGGGCAGGAAGGGGCTGTGCTGCCAGGCACCAGCCCTGGGGCAGAGCCAAGGGGAGGGAGTGCTTGAACCTGAACCAAGGCAGACATCCTCTGCCCGCCATCCTTCCCCACCAGCGCCTCCCCAAGTGACCTCGTGAGAACATGAATCCCAGGTGTGCTGAGAGTAGGTGCAGCAACAGTAAATTACAACCCCCAGGTCCTCAGCAGGCTGATGCAGGCCTCACACTGCAGGCTTGGCAGGAAGAAGGCAGGCCCATGTCCAGGCCTGAAGCCTTCTCATCCTCTGCTGACCTCCAGGCATGAGGCTTGGAAAAAAAACAAACAAAACAAAAAAACAAAAAAACATGAGATGCATAAAAAGACAAGGAAAGCCAGCACATTCCCGAGGGAGCAATCATCAGAACTCGACTCTGATATGAAGCGGTTGTTGGAACTATCTGTCACGGAATTTAAAATAACTATAATTAGTATGTTAAAGGCTTTAACAGAAAAAATGGGTCACATGCAATATCAAATGGGAATTTCAGTGAAGAGATGGAAAGTATGAGAAAAAATCAAATGGAAATGCTAGAAATAAAACAAACACTGTAACAGCGATGAAGAGTGTGCTTGAAAGATGCATCTGTGGATTTGACACAGGCATAGAAGAGTCAGCAAACCCGAACATGGGTCAGAGAAATTACCTGAGTTAAAATACAAAAGTAAAAAGAATAAGAAAAAGCAAAACAAACAAACAAAAAAGCCCCAACCAGAACAGAACATCCAAGAGCTGGGGGCCACATCGAGCATCCCAAGTGTGCACAACTGGAAAACCAGAAGGAGAAGCGAGAACAGGGCAGAAGAAATGCTGGATGTGATAATGGCCAAGACTTCTTAGAAGTTAGGGGCAAACACCAAACACAGATCCAATAAACTCAGAGAACATCAAGTAAGATAATACACACACAAAAGAGCAAAAAACACAAAAAACCCAGTGCAGATATCATATTAAACTGCTGAAGACAAAAGACACAGAGAAAATCTTCAAGGCAGCCGGAGAAAGAAGATACCTTAGACAAGGAGAACCCAGAGGCCAGAAGGAAAAAGACAGTGAGCGATGCCTGGAAACTGCAGGAGAAAGAAAAATGCTTTATCCAGAATTCTGTACTCAGAGAAATACTTCACGTTTCAAAAATGAAGGAGAAACACGTTCTCAAACACAAAAAACAAACAAAAAAACTGGAGGAAATTCAATATCAGCAGATGTACTCTACAAAAAAAAAGTTAAAAATTTTTGAGTCAGAACAAATATATCATCAGACTAAAACTTGGATCTGCAAAAAGAAATGAAGAACGCTAGAAACAGATGAAGTGAAGGTGAATTTAAATTCATCTTTTACCTTATCTAAAAGATAAAGTCTAAAGCAGGGGCCTGCTGGTCGAATCTGGCCCACCTGTCTCTGGAAACGAAACTTTACTAGAAAGCAGTCACACCCACTCACACCCACGCTCACCCACTCACACCCACACACACCTGCTCACACCCACTCTCACCCATTCACACCCACTCACACCCGCTCACAGACAGCTGCTCACAACCCTCCACACCCGCTCACACCCTCACAGCCGCTCACACCAACTCACACCCACTCGCACCTGCTCACACCCACTTGCACCCGCTCACACCAGCTCACACCTAGTTTCACACCCACACACCCACTCACACCCACTCACGCCCACACCCGCTCACACCCGCTCACACCCACTCACACCCAGTCTGACAGCCGCTCACAACCCTCCACACCCGCTCACACCCTCACACCCACTTGCACCCACTCACACCTGCTGACACCCAGTTTCACACCCACACACCCACCTGCTCACACCCACTCACCCACTCTCACACCCACTCATGCCCACACCCATTCACACCCACTCATGCCCACTCACACACTCACTGTCACACCCACTCACACACCCACTCACACCCACTCACACCTGCTCACACCCACTCACACCCACTCACTTCCATATGACCCATGCTTGTTTCCATTCACAACAAAATTGAGTAGTTGCAAGAGATGCTATATGGCCTGGAAAGCCTAAAATATTTAATGTCTGACCCTTTAATAAAAATGCTGCTGATCCCTGGTCTAAAGAAAAAAATAGCAATGTGTCATGTGTTTATAGCATCTGTAAAAGCCAATGTTATAACAAAATAGCACATAGGAGGGAAGGGAGGAATTAGTAATATTTTGTTGAAAGGCCCTGGTATGCTACAAAAATGGGTATACAATTATGTAAAAGTAGATTGATAGATATTTTAAGCCCTAGGACAACTGCTAAAAAATTTTTAAAAGAGGTATAAGTAACTCGTCAATAAAGGAGGTTAAATGAACTCATAAAAATATGCCAAATTAACACAAGAGAATATGGAACGAAGGAAACAAGAAATAAATTCGGATGTGAAAAACAGAAAACAGGCAATGGAAACTAGCAATATATAAGAAGGATAGTGGAACACAACTCACTGTGGTCCATTCCAGGAATTCAAGGCTAGTCCAACATTGGAAAATCCTTCCATATAATTTACCATATGAACAGACCATGAAAGAAAAACAATATGATCATCTTAATCCATGCAGAAAAAGCAATCAATAAAATGGAATACTCATGACCTAGACTCACAGTAAAGACGCAGTAGAAGGGAGCTTCCGTCATCTTAATAAAGGGCACCTTCTGTAACCTACACCTAACATCACAGAGACGATGCAGCCCTCGATTCTTTCCCTTAAGATGGGGACCTGGTTAAGCTCTTTACCCTCATCACTCCTATTCAATATCATGTTGTTTTACACAGTGTAATGGGGCAAGAAAAAGAAACACAAGGCCTACAGATTGGAAAGGAAGAAATAACATTGCTTCTATTTGCAGATGCCATGAATTATCCATGTATAATTTTTTTTATCTGTAAAATCTACTAAGAGCAAAAACTACTAAGAACTAAGAGGTGAGTGGAGCAAAGTCACAGGACCCAATGCAGCATGCAAAGCCAATCGTCTTCCTACCAGCGGAGGTGTCCAGTTCCCAGCCAAACTCCTCTGTGTAATCCCTCAGGGGCAGCCATGGGCAGTGGCAAAGGCTCCACCTGGCAGGCCCAGGGAGACTCTGCCCTCCACACAGTGGGCTCAGTGCACAGCCAGCCAGTGCTGCAGGTTCTCAGGGAAGTTGCCTTCAATGTCTCAGCCCCCAGCCAGCCACCCTCATGAAGATTTGCATTTGCAGCCCAGGTAGCCCTATCTGGAGGGAGTAGGGGGGAACCTGGAAGATGCTTTTCCCCACTCTCAGCATTCAATCTTTTCCACTCTGAGCCCTTCCTTCCCCTTTCTCCTTCTCTCCGAGTCCTCAGGTACATAAACAACAGGAACATGTTATTTAGGGTCCCTGGGCTGGGAGGTGACCTCCACATCTGCATTATCTGACCCTCTCCTTATGCCACTCTACAGGCAAAGCTAGAACCCAGGGAGCCAGCACTTCTCACATTTAGCCTCTTGCTCAACTATGTGTGTGGTTACAGGCCTGACTCTGTCCTGCCTTCATAATGTGTCTTGCTGTCTTAGGAGGCTACTCTATGCCTGGTGGCTGAGGTCTCTCCAGCTCAGCTGAGCTCTTGATACCACCAATAAACAATTAGAATTTGAAATAAAAAAAAAACTATTTAAAAATAACATCCCAAAAGGAAGTACATAAGTATACATCTAATAAAATATGTTCAGGATCTGTATGTCACAAATAACTTAAAACACCAATGAAAGAAATCAAGGTCATTTCCTTTATAAATAAATGAAAAGACATACTATGTTCGTGGAGCAGAAAACTGACTGTTAAGATGTTAGTTCTCTCCAATTTGATCTACAGATTAAACACAACCTCTGCAAGTTTTTTTGTAGATATTGACAAGTTGATTCTAAAATTTATGTACAAAGGCAAAGCAGCTAGAATAGCCAAGATGATTCTGACAAAGAAGACCTCACATTACCCAATTTCAATGCTTCCTATCATGGTATAGTAATCATGATAGTGTGGTATTAACAAAAGAATAGACACATAGATCAATGGACCAGGATAGGGTCCAGAAATAGACCCATAAAACTATAGCCAACTGATTTTGTGCAAAGTGGCAGCAACAATGAAGAAAATATCATTTTAAAAATGTTTGAAATATTGAACATTCCTATGCAAATACACCTTCAGATACACTTTATACTTTATCCAAAAATGTATCTCAAAGCAGATCATATCCCTGAACATAAAATGTAAAATGATAAAACTTCTAGAAGAAAACCTGTCTGACCCACAGTTTATGACGTGTTTCAAGATATGACACCAAAAGCATGATCCATAAAAAAGAAATGGGTAAATTGTATTTCATCAAAATTAAAAATTTATCTTCTGTGAAAAATACTTATTAAGAGAATAAAAATACAAGCTACAGGCCTGATAGAAAATACGTGTAAGTCACATATCTGTTGAATAAATTATACCCAGAATATATAAAGAATACTTGAAACTCAACCAGAAGAAAACAACCCAATAAAAAATAGACAAAAGATCTCATCAGATACTTTACTAAAGAAGATATATCAATGGCAAATACATTTATAAAAAGATGCCCAACATCAGCTGTCATTAAGGAAATGCAAATCCAAACCACAATGAGATACTGCTAACTACACATCAATTGGAATAATTAAAATAAAAAGAAATGAATAAAAATTTAAAAGCTAACAACAGCAATTGCTGACAAGGATGCAGAGAAATGGAAATTCTCATTCATTGCTCATGAGAATGTTTACAGCCACTTTCTAAAACAGTTTGATAGTTTCCTATGCAGTTCAATATACATGAGCAATACAACCAGCAATCCCAGTTCTAGGTATTTGCCCAGGTGAATCTCAAAACTTTTATTTTCACAAAAAAGACTGAATTTGATAGTAGTTTTACATGAATGTTGATAGTAGTTATAAAAAGGCACAAAGTTGACTCATGCTACAAATGGATAAATCTTGAACTCATTTTGCTAAGTGAAAGAACCTAATTTCAAAAGGCTGCAATGCTGCAAGATTCTATTTATAGGATGTTTTGGAAAAGGGAAAACTGTAGGGTTGAGAACAGATCCGTGGTTAGCAGAGGACGGTGGAGTGAGGAGGGAACCCGTGGGCAGGTTCTCCTGAATCCCACTGTGTGGCTGTCTCCTAGTTAGCCCTGGGTGTGTGATGATTTCTACAGCACAGCACAGGTGGCACCTCTAGGCCCCTCAGATGTTCCACCATTCCTCGTACGGGAAATAGGGTCATACACAGACACAGGGCATTGCAGGCTGAGGACATCCACTTCTCAGGGAGAGCCTGTACAGTTCACCACAGTTACTGGGCAGAAGAAGAAATGAGGGTGATTTATGAGTCAGAACACGGCAGTGTGTCAGGTCAGGGAGAGGATGGGGTTGTAGCCAAGTGCACGTTCTGTGGCAGTGGCAGGAGGAGACCTCAGGCGGGATGTGGATGCTGTCACTCAGAGCTCCTCCCTCCCGCCTTCTCCCCACATGCTCTTGGGGAGATGGGAGGCAGCGGGCTGAGAGCCAGGGGTGGGAGGGGTAAGGAACAGGAAACCCCAAGCTCCAGTGGAGTCCGAAGAAGGGGAATTTATGTGGCCACCCCGAGCGGACAGGGTCTTCCCTTTCATTTAAAGGCAGCTGTTGTTTTTGGAAGAACCTACTTACGTATTTCTTTCTCATACTCCTTTTCTATATCATCTCTATTCTTCTCCTGGACAAATGCGGGATCTCACCACCCCCATGTCCACCACTGTCCCTCTGCAGATCCTCTGAGGCTCAGCCTCTAGCTGGCCAGCACACTCCACGCCGCACACCTTCACAGACCATTTTGGCCACTGCTGGGGCAGACAGGAGGTTGCAGGGATCCACCTGGAGGGCTCCCAATCTTCTCCCTCAGAGACAGGATCATGAGTGGGATCTCTTCTCAGAGATAACTGCCATAAGAGAGGGGCAGCTGTCGGCAGCAGTAGCTTCAATTAGAGCTGGTATTGATTTCTTGGCATTATCCCCTCCCAATATGGAGTTGTTGTTCCTAAAATAGCAGCATTTCCATGTGTACAGAAGTAGGCATCTAGAAAAGAGAGGGTCCCACTGTGCCTCCATTACTGTCCTGACAATGTCTGCCTTGGCCAGATTCTTTACTTGCTGTGTACGTTTTTAGTAATAGCAATCCTGACTGTCATCTTTGTTATCATAGTCAACATTTTACTAATTTCTGCATCTCACTTGCTGCATACCTGCAAACTACACACCCAACACAGTAAAGCAACATCCAGAGAGTACTTTCAGTGTGAAGATGAGGACGAGTGTGGACGCCGTTCATCACCTCTACTCAGCGGCACAGATGTGCACGACACAGGCTTGCGCAACGCTGAGCTCCGTGGGGTCTTTGCTAGGGAGTCATGGTTCCTTGCACAACGGGGGGTCTGTACAGTTCATGTCCCCCAAATCTAATTTCTTACTCTCTCAAATCTAAGAGAGGATTCTGTTTAGCTTTCATGAGCCATTGTTTCTTTCACTTTCAGCAACCTCTTGGATTTCTACCATGCCCAGTATGAATAGCCAAAAACCAAGTGCACACGATTTGAAGCAGGACCACTTGTTGATAACATAACTGAAAGCAGAAATGAAGCATGAAGGATAGAGCTACTAAAGAGAAAAAGAGGCAAGAGGTAACCACGGTTCTTTTGTTTTTGTTTTTGTTTTTTGAGATGGAGTCTTGCTGTGTCACCCAGGCTGGAGTGCCTGGGTCCACGATCTCGGCTCACTGCAACCTCTGCCTCTCGGGTTCAAACGATTCTCCTGCCTCAGCCCCCAGAGTAGCTGGGATTACAGGTGCCCACCACCATTCCTGGCTAATTTTTGTGGTTTTAATAGAGACGGGGTGTCACCATGTTGGCTAGGCTGGCCTTGAACTCCTGATCTCAGGTGATCCTCCCACCTTGGCCTCCCAAAGTGCTGGGATTACAGGCGTGAGCCACCACTCCTGGCCTCACATGTATTTTTTAAATATAGACAACACACTCCATGTCCTAAGACGCATGTTCACTCTGTGCGTCTGGATGGAGTGCAGGTCTGTTTAAGTCTACATTTTCTCTTTCAGCACCATGGACTTGGCTGAGCTGAGGGCACGTCTACCACCAGGCAAAGGCACCCTTTGGGCAGAGGACGAATCAGAGGTTGGGAGGTGCTGGCTCCACAACTCAGCCTCCTTCCCAAGAAGCCGCATTTCCGGGAGCTCACACCTGCTGCCTCCTCCATAATCAACTTCCCTGGGAGAAGGCTCCATGATTTCCAGAAGAGAGCACCACCCGAAGCAACCCCGGAGGGCCCTGTGCGTGTAGACAAAGGCAGCCCACCATGACTGAAGCTGAGACCCGCTCCCATGCATGTCCCTCACAGAGGGCCCTGTCCATGGTTCTTGGTTCAGGATGCCACCGGATCCGCCCCTGCTTCCCAGACACCACTGCCCAGGTGAGTTCCCGCGTCCTGTGTTCCCAGGTCCAGAGGCGAATTCCTGGAGAATTAGCCTGGATGTTGTGACTCTCCAATCAAGGCAGTTCCCCTCCTTTGTATCTTTTATCCGGACTGATCTAGGAATCCATACCCACTCTTAGGCAATCCTTATTCCAGCAAAACTGTGCCCTCAGAATGTCAGGGACTTATTTAATGAATGCCTTCTTAACATAAAGATTATTAATAGCATCTGCATACCAAATCCTTTCCTTTAATTATTCACTAGGTATGTTCTTCTCCAATAGAACGGCATAATTTTGAGAGGAGAGCAAGCACAAGGCAAGGCTTTGTTATTGCACGAACTCATTTTTGTGCTTGCAAATCCAGTCCCTATCCTATAGATGCCGACTCACACTCACAAGGGCTGCTATTATGCTATCAGTTTGACCACTATTGTAAAGATGATTTATTTGATTGTGGTGATTTTTTTAAAATCAAGTTTTCAGAAGCCAAACCTGTGAGGGAAATGACTCGTTTGCCTCACTAAGTCCTACTCATCTCTCAGGATTCAGTCAGGATAGCACTTTCCAAGGCTATGGTTTCTGACTGCCCAGATGACACTGGGGGTCTCGGCTGCAGGGGCCCCCAGCCCCTCCTCCCCAGGAAACATGTGCCTCATTTGTATTTTGGTTCTATGATTGTTTCTCCTCATATGTGGTAAACTCCTTAGGGACAGGGACCAGATCACAGCTGGACACGAAGACCCCCCACTCAGGGCCTAGACCAGGCTAAGCCAGTCAGAGGCTGCTGTCCAGAGAGCCTGTGCCCCCCTGCATCCGACTAACACAAAGGACCTCAAGGAGGGCACCTTCTGGGTGTGGGAACCACATGGCTCCCTTGCTGTCCTCCTTCAGCTCCTCTCCAAAGCTGTCCTCCTTCAGGTCCTCTCCAAAGCCACCTGGACATCCCAGCATGAGGTGGCAACCCCTCCCCAGGTACCCTACCCCCCACGCTGTCTTGTGCTCATGACCTTGTGACCCCCTGGAGCGTGGCTCTCACATCTGCCGATTGCCTGTCAATTTCCCTGCCCCCATGTCAGACAAGTCCAGGAAGGCACCGTCTTGTCTGTTTCCTCCACTGTTGAGTTCCCAGTGCCTGGAAGCATGCCTGGCATACAGCAAGTGCTCAATAAGTGTCTGTTGAGTGAGAATTGGATGAGTGGGAATCAGGTGGGTGGTGCCTTATGTTCTAGGGCCCTGTGCCCTGTGACTGAGAGGAGCGGCAATGCCTTCGGGGAGGGGTGGGCGCCTGAGCCTCCCGCAGAAACGACAGGACGGATGAGCTGAAGCCAAGACCTGCTCCCACACGTGTCCCACACGGAAGGCCCTGACCACGGCCCTCGGGCACAGGACACCATCGGATCTGTCCTGGCTTTCCAGGCACCACCTCTCAGGTCACTTCCCGTGTCCTGTGTTCTCACATCCAGAAGGAGAACCACCCGCCGGGTAGTCTTGTGGCCTCCATTTCTAAGAAACAAATGACCTGTTTACAACGTTGGCACTAAACCATGAGTTTTTAGGTTTTCAAACTTACTGTTTCCATTAAGAGCAAGAATTAATCATTATATATTAAGCAAAAAAGGAAACAAACCAATGAGCTCGATGTGTCCAAAACCAAACTCTCTCTTCCATCCCAAACCACTGCTTGGTCTCTGGCCTGTTGACACACCGCTCTTCATCCAGCAGCCAAGATGGGGGGTAATTCCAGAATCTTCTCTCCCGTACACTGTGCACTTCCCAGCTTCCATCTCTCCCCAAGTCCCCTGCGTCGGCGCCCTGCTTCCGTCCCCCGCCCCTCTGCACACTGCCGCATACACCTTCCCCTCTGGATTTCCACAAGGTCCGCTCCTCCGACCTCAGCTTTTTCCTGAAACAGATCTGCACGTGGCACCCAGCGTAAAGCTTAGAAAACGCAGCTTGGGCCAGTTCTCATCTAGTTTAAAGTGCTCTCATGGCTTCTCCTGGACAGGAAGAGACCCCAGAGCCCCGGACGTCCCCGCAGCTTCCTCGTCAACTGCAGGGCATTCCTGAAACACAGGCCAGGCTAGGCTTCTTGGTATTTTCTGAGGATGCAGTTGACTTAATTGAACGTCAGCGCCTTTTTAGAGGTTGTTCCTTCTCCCTGGAATACTGATCCCCAATCCCACCAACTTCTAAACACCTGAAGAAAGTCATCTTCCTTCTCTAAGATCCAGCTCAAATTTCTCTCCTGCGAAGCCTTCCACGGTCCAAATGAGTTCTAATAACTCCACGTAGTATCTCTCCATCAAGCTGTGGTTATTTGTTGACATGTTGCCTTCCTTTTCAGAATTCACGCTATTAGAAATCAGCTTTTATGCTCACTTGTTTGAACGCCTGTCCAGCTATGGCTGAGGGTCCCATGCATAACAGATGCTCAATAAGGTTTGTTAAATAAAAGAATATATGAGTGATGGGGTGAATAGATAAACGAATGCATTATTTTATTTTAATGATTAGTTTTTTGAGATAGAGTCATGGCCTATCACCCAGGCTGGAGCACAGTGCTGCCATCACAGCTATTATAACCTTTAACTCCTGGACTTGAGTGATCCTCTAGCCTCAGCCTCCCTCCCAAGTAGCTGGGACTACAGGCATGAGCCGCTATACCCAGCTATATTTAATTTAATTTTTTATTATTTTTTACTTTATTTTGAGATGGAGTCTCACTTGAACTCTTAGCCTCAAGTGATCCTCCTGCCTCAGCCTCCCAAAGTGCTGGGATTACAGGCATAGGCCACCATGCCCAGCTGGATGTATATTTTTAAATTACTGAATAAATATGCCCCTCTGAGAAGAATCTACTTCCTGCATGTTTGATCCTGTGGTCGTCTGTCTAATGCACCCTCACTGGGAATTCATGTGGATTCACCCAGCTAAGTCAGAAAGGTTAACCATGTGATTATATTATCAGGCAGAAATAATCTTCCCTGGGCCCCTACCCTAGGAAACGAAAGTGAGAATATTGAAAAACAAAACAATTTTCATCAGACAATGAAGAACAATTGCTTAGGTGGTAGGAAGCCACTAAAAGGAATTTCTAACCCTCATTCTAATATATGGGCAAGAACTCTATGCCTTTTAGCTCCAGAGAAATATAGCCCAGCCGGAAAATGACCCAGCTCCTTTCTTCAATGTGCTGCTCAGGTGTTTCTGTGCAGAAGGGGGAGGCAGGGCTGTGCTGTGGCCCTTTGTCTCTGCCACCTGGGTCCGCATGAGCCCCTGGGCAGGAATGTGCTGTCTCCGAGGACTGCTAATGCTGCTCCCCAGCTGTAATTGTGCGAGTGGAGACCACTCTCGTACATTTCAATCTGAGAGATATATAGGCATATAAAGCCCTATAGTATATGAATATGCTTCTCTTAGATATGTCTCGATATATTTAAGGAAGGCGTACTTAAAATACACACACACACACACACACACATATATATATATATGTATTCCTACTGTTTGTTGTCAACCAACTAACTAAATATTACATTTTGGGATTTCTTTCAATGCGTTGGTTTGACAGGAATGTTTTGCTAGAATGTACCACAACTGTGCCTGCCTGGTCCCCTAAAGCCCGTTTCTCTGCATTTCACTCAGTTGTAAATGTGTCAGCAGGAAACCGTGACCAAAGACAAGGAGCTGCTGTAGGACCGTGGATGAATCACATGGATGTGGGGTTTTTGTTATCCTCCAGGAAATCTTATGTTGCTCCATTCAAAAGGGAAGAAAATGCATGAAAAGTATGAAAGTGATATTAAGCAGATGTTAGACTGGAGTTGTCAATCTTGTCTAAGCAGGTGCTAATGTGTTATAATTACCCTTCTGGCAGTTGATGTTTAGGATTTTGGTTCCCACCTAGTCAATCACAGCTGTAATTGTTAAGCTACTTACATAGCTAATACGCTGGGTAATAACCAGATAGGATTTAATATTTGACATTTGCCGTCAATTACCTTTCTTCTGACAAACATCTCCCCTACACTAGTATCTGTAGAGTGGGCTATCTAGTGACTTCTGGATGAAATAAATAGAATTGCATGGCAAAAAAGGAAATAAAAGCAAAGCACAGCTCTGTGTGTCTGCAGCTCTTGATGGTGCTACCCCTGGTTTCCTAAGAAGGAACAATGCCCTGGGCACCATGGAATCTCTATGCCAATGCCTATTTCGCACATACCAGAGGACTGATGTTCAAAGATGCTGCTCTTATTTACCCTCACTGTGGGGGCGGGAATAATCTTTGTCCCCCTCCCTGCACACGGAGGGCTGGGATGAAGGTTTAAATGCACGGCCACGACACGGCGAGCCAGTCAGTGATGTGTGGATCAGCAAAGAACATCCCTCAAGTTTTGTCTGGGTCGACAATGAGATCCCCCCAAGAATCTTACTTTTCCACATCTGCACTAAATTTTCAACAACAAATGGAGAGGGAACGTGGTCACAAGTGATGCCAGGCTGTGATGTCACTGGCCTCAGTTCGAATCCATGTTCTGCCACTTTCTAGCTAATTAAGGAAATCACTTAAACTGCTAGAACTTCCATTTATTTTTCTGTGAAATAGGCTTGCTGTGGGAATGGAGCAAGGCAACCCACAGCCAGCTTCAGCGTCATACCTGGCACAGAGGAAGGGCACGAGGAACGCCAGCTCTCCTGAGATGTAGCAGCCGGTTCTGTGGCTGACAGTGGAACCACCCAGCTGGAAGGTGCATCCAGCACCTCAGAGCTCAGCCGCAGAGGAGACGCCCTGCTGCTCGAGCAGTTCCTGGGCCGGGGCCACCCTTGTGTCTGGATCCCACTGACCCAGGCAAATGAAGACCGTTCAGTACGGGTTGGATGAATGGAACGGACCCCAGAGGGCTGTCGTTACCCAGAGAGGGGTCTGTGTGGTGGACTCGGAGACTACCACCAGGATATCAAGGCTCCAGAAAGCCCCCAGATCCTCTGCTGCCCCAGGAGCTCAGCGTGGCTTCAAACATTGCAGCTCCAATTAGAGTCAAATTTTACCCACAGGCGCCACTGCAAATATCAAGAAAGAGTCCTCAGTGTGGAGCTGGGAGCTCATTTCCTTGATATTTGGTTTTTTAAGCGGGACTGCTGAGCCACACGGCTCCAGGGAGTGCCAGCCACATGGTGAGGGTGGATGTACCCCAGGAAAGTCCCAGGTATTAGAGAAATGCTCCTTGGTGGCTTATTCCTACAGCACCCAGCTGAAGACCCAGGGAGCTTCTCTAGAAAATGTGACCTGGGAGATAATGTACATTAATCTAATCCTGAAGTACACACATGCACACATCACACACATATGTGTACACACAGAAGCACAAACATGTGCACATACACATGCCACATGCACACACAATCACACACATCCTTATACGCACATGGACACTACATGCACATGGACACACACATCCATATACACAACTGGACACCACATGCACACAATCACACACATCCATATACACAGCTGGACACCACGTGCACACAATCACACACATCCATATACACAGCTGGACACTACGTGCACACACACAATCACACACATCCATATACACAGCTGGATGCCACGTGCACACAATCACACATCCATATACACAGCTGGACACCACATGCACACAATCACACACATCCATATAAACAGCTGGATGCCACATGCACACACACAATCACACACATCCATATACACAGCTGGACACCACGTGCACACACACAATCACACACATCCATATACACAGCTGGACGCCACGTGCACACAATCACACACATCCATATACACAGCTGGACGCCACGTGCACACACACAATCACACACATCCATATACACAGCTGGACGCCACGTGCACACACACAATCACACACATCCATATACACAGCTGGACACCACGTGCACACAATCACACACATCCATATACACAGCTGGACACCACGTGCACACAATCACACACATCCATATACACAGCTGGACACTACGTGCACACACACAATCACACACATCCATATACACAGCTGGATGCCACGTGCACACAATCACACATCCATATACACAGCTGGACACCACGTGCACAATCACACACATCCATATACACAGCTGGACACCACGTGCACACACACAATCACACATCCATATACACAGCTGGACGCCACGTGCACACACACAATCACACACATCCATATACACAGCTGGACGCCACGTGCACACAATCACACACATCCATATACACAGCTGAACGCCACGTGCACACACACAATCACACACATCCATATACACAGCTGGATGCCACGTGCACACAATCACACACATCCATATACACAGCTGGACGCCACGTGCACACACACAATCACACACATCCATATACACAGCTGGACGCCACGTGCACACAATCACACACATCCATATACACAGCTGGACGCCACGTGCACACACACAATCACACACATCCATATACACAGCTGGATACCACGTGCAATCACACACATCCATATATGCACATGGACACCACATGCACACACACAATTACACACATCCATATACACAGCTGGACACCATGTGCACACAATCACACACATCCATATACACAGCTGGACGCCACATGCACACAATCACACACATCCATATACACAGCTGGACGCCACGTGCACACACACAATCACACACAACCATATACACAGCTGGACGCCACGTGCACACACACAATCACACACATCCATATACACAGCTGGACGCCATGTGCACACACACAATCACACACATCCATATACACAGCTGGACACCACGTGCACACAATCACACACATCCATATACACAGCTGGACACCACGTGCACATACACACATAATTACATACATCCATAAACACACATGGACACCACATGCACACATACAATCACACACATCCATATATGCACATGGACACCACACACACACACACACATCCATAAACACAGCTGGACACAACATGCACACACACAATTACACACAACCATATACACACATGGATACCACATGCACACACACAATCACACACATCTATATACGCACATGGACACCACACATGCACACACACACATCCATATACACACATGGATACCACATGCACACACACTATCACATCTATATATGCACATGGACACCACATGCGCGCACACACAATTACACACATATACATACACAGACAACACATGCACACACAACCACACACATTTACATATGCACGTGGACACCACATACACAAACATATATGCATGTGGTCATTACATGCACATGGACAAATACACACGGACACCACATATACACACAATCACATACATATATGTACATGGACACATGCACACACACACAAACATGCACATCCATATGTGCACACGGTCACATGCACAATTACACACATCCATATTAGTGCACAGACACCACACGCACACACACACATTCATATACACACATGGATACCACATGCACACACACATATACACACAGTACACACACACAAATACACACATGCACACCCATACGTGTGTGCACATGCGCGTGCATGCGCGCGCACACACACACACACACACACTCCTTGACTTTCTCAGACCAACCAGTTCAACTTTTGGTCTGTAACCCAATCTGAAAGAGCTTCCTTTACGTGTTCCTCACTACCTCTGCTCTGTGATCACGGGTGTTTTCTGTCTACACACGCACAGGATGACCGGGCAACTCTGCAGAGGCCAGGCCAGGCTAACCCTCACTGTCAGCTCTGCTTCCTCGACACCTGTGTCGGGTTCTGGTCCTACGGTTAAAGGTGCCAACAGTAGGTGGGCTGTTCCTCCACTACCCCTCCCTCCCTCCGGGCTGTGTCTGCCCCGAGCCCTGCACACACTCCTCAGGCTGGAACTCTGCTTGAAGCTGTGCCAACATTGGGATGCAGTTTTTGTTTTTTAATGAATGAATGTATTGATTACGCCAAGAAAGTTGCAACTTTCCAACACCTTTCCTGTGCATGCATATATGTCAGGGTAGAGGGTAGGCAATGGGAAATGTTTTTCTTTTAAATAATTAGCAGAAAATGAGTATCCATCAATATTGTCAGATATACTCCCTGAATTAGAAACGCATCATCAAACTGGTTATTGCCTTTCTCTGACTGGTTGGCAATACACCAACTAGTGAGCTGCACCACACTGGTGACGGCCACTTTACTGTCTTGGGAACAATATTTTCACAAGTTGTTAACTGGTCCTCACTCCTTGCAGAAGAAAGAGTCTTGTTTCAAGGGGATCCTGCTTAAAGTTTAAACTAGAAAAGACGCGGCCCTGACAGCCAGGCAGCATTAAGACTTCAAAGCCAAGGAAAAGAAGTGGGACCTCGTCATTTTGCAATAAAACGTGAAGCCGTGTAATAATGCCCTTTTAAGCCACTTGGGACTTCTCAGACTTCAAATAAAATGCTATTAGCCCAAGCAGATAAACAATCTAAGCCGCTATGTGCCTGGGGTGATACCCTTGTGATTTACAATGGGCAAGGGAAATCCAGCAGCCTAGGTGTTCGGGGAGAATGGCAGGAATCCCACAATCTCCGCCTCCGTGGCAGGCCTTTGCATCCCACGCCTGACGCATGTCTCACTCGCGCCACAAACATTTCATTGGGGTGACTCCGAAACCAGCTCCAAGTTGCCATTTTGTGGCATACACGAATTTGAGGAGGAAGTTATTTAATGAGAGAAACGCCATGTTTTTAGTAGAGAAAGAAGAGAATATGGTTTCATTTTTGCCTCTGCCTTGGTTTGTAAGGGACACGGCCGCTGGTGGCAAGAACTTGGAGCTGTGGAAGTTCTGATCCCTTCTGGAAGGCTCCTTCTGACCTTGTGGGAGGTAAAGGAGGACGCTGCCCTGGGTATGCCTCTCAACCTAAGGGGTTGCTAATCATGGCAGCAAGCACTAGACATCCAAAACCCAGCTTCTGACCTCTGTGGGAGCGAGCCACCCAGCCCCTGGCCTCGCTTCAGTCCAAGCAGAGGCCCTCCTGCTGGGGCAGGAGGCCACCAGTCCCAGGGCAGCTTCTCTGCCATGGAACACGCCTGTCAAACCTGTCCCCGCTCCCTGCCCACATGGTCTCCAAGGCCACCGCACGTGGCCCAGCGGAAGAAACACCAACCCAAATGAACCTCTGTGGCCAAGAGAGGCCAAGGCATGAGTCGCAACGAAACCCCAGACAACATCCTCCGTTTTCACAAGAGCAGTGCCTCCCCTGGTCACCACTGCGACCCCTGCTTCCAGCTGGCACGAGCCACACACACTGCTCATTTTTCTCAGCGCCTGATTGTCTGTCTCACACTTCTGCCCCGGCCACCCCCGCACCGCACGCAGACTGAATAAAATATGCCAGATAACCCTGGCAGGGACACCGGCCACCAATGAATTTAACTTTCCTACACATAATCCGCCAAGGATGCTGCGAGGCTATTTAGAAGGTTTTGTTGTTCTCGCTGCGCGTCTCTCCTTGCTTTAGCCTGAGAGATAAAGGGACTTCTCACAGAAAAACCAAGTCATCATCGCTGAAATGCAGGGGACTTTCTACTTCCAAATCAATTGAACACTTTTCTGAAGTCTAAGAAGTGAAATCTGGGTTCACTGTTACCTTCCAAATAATCAACAGTCAAATAAAAATAAAATGCAATAGCAGCAACTCTTTAGGATTAAGCTAGTAAAGCTATTGTCCCTTTAAATCGGGAAAAAAAGGGAAAATAGTCTGCAAGTTCTGCAAGGAAAAAAAATGTCACATTTGTATAGACCCCAAATCCCCTCTGTTTAAACAGGGTGATTAATATCAGTTCCTGTAGGAAATTAAATTCGGAGAAGAACAGCCATATGCAGATATGCAGATTTCTGGGCAGAATGGCCATCTCTGGGTAAGGGAGCCGGCTGATTAATCTGCGTCCTTAGAATACAAAATGAAACATTGGGCTCTCCTGGGCGAGCACAAGAAATGGCTTTTCCTCCCCATAAGAGAGGAAAAAAGGGCCAAACACAACGAGGAGGAGGGTCGCAGCACCACGTGCCAGTGTCTGTGAATGGTGAGGCTCTGATATTTAAAACAGCTTGTCGTGTTTGCAAAACATAGCTTCTTCGCTTTAGGCCTGGCTTATCCTGACCTTTAGAAAGTTCTCCCTTCCTCATTTCTGAAGTCATGGAATAGCTATCAGGCGTCTGCACTTATTAATATCAACACTCCTCCTCTTTAATCTCCCCCTCCCCAGGCATATATTGAAGTAAACTGTTCCCCCCATAAACCTCCACATGAGCTCAGAGGGGACAGGATGTGGTTTGTTTTATAGTTTAGTTTTTTTTTTTATTTTATTTTCTGAAAGACTAAATGCAGTAGACTTTTTTTTTTTACTTAAAATTATGACTCTGGAAATTTAATTTGCAAATATAAATTACCCGTTATAATCTAACCCTTTCATCACTCCAAAAAGTCACTGTGACCATAGTATCCGGTCACAAGTGAGTATAAGATTTTTGATGATCAAATAATGCTTTTTTTTTGGAAAAAATATTTACAGCAAGAAGCAAAATGTCATTTTTAGTGGGGGGTTTTTTGGTAGTTACTAGAAACCTAAGCCTGTTATTCTGAACCATTCAGGGTCTCTCCAATAATTGTATAGAAGTAGGCATTATACTATATTATTAAAGCTGTAATTTCCTGCTGAATCTGTCTGGATGTTTCTTTTTATCACTTGGCAATTTCTATCTAGTTATAGCATAATTAAGTTTCCTGACCCTTGCTCACTCTTTTAACAGGACGCTTAGAAATATCCTAGAATTGCAGATCTTCAGGCTGATGTCCTCTCTCCCCACACAGTAATGGAATAAAATTATTAATCTAGTAATTGTACAGAACACATTACTTTGCATTGAATTTTCCTCGTTCTCATTTTCTGTTAGTGACAATCAGCCAGAGGTACAAATCATTTCTGCAGGGAGCAGGGCCCTTGGAAAAGCCTCTCATTCACTCTCTGGGAGCTACCTGTACAGCTGTGATTATTCAGAGGCTAATACAGTGCTAGGCTCAAGCGAACAAAACAAAGTTAATAAAATGGACTAAGGAGCAAGATATTTTCCTGCCTGCGGCTTATGTGCCAAAATTAGAACCGACCGCCAAATGATAACCGCACATCCGAGTGCCAGACTATAAATGGATTGAGAGAGCTCTCTGAGCCTCTGCGAGCCAGAAGGCGGCCGCCGGGCTCGCGTCCGCATCCTGGCTGTTTTGAAGGCACCCGAAACTCATCTACGACTCCTTTCACCAGGAATAAGGAGGCTGTTTTGGTTTTCATTGTGCAGGACCCTAAATCTTAAGTCCTTCGTAAATTATGTTCTACCATTTGCATGCGTGCAGATGGTGGTGGAGATGACCTCGAAATACCCATGACAGGGAGGGCTGCTACCCAGACAGAGAACTCTGCTCCACCAAAATGCCCCAAAAGAGAGCCGAGCTCACATTCCAGATTCTCTGTCTCCAGCCCCCACCAGGCACACCCCATGTCTTGGGAGAAAGATGCCATCTCAAAATATCTTAAGTCCAGACGATGACTGCCCTGTCCTCCCCAGACTGAGCCCTTGGCATGCACTCAATCTGCCAGGAGCCCCAGGGAAGGCCGTGGAGCACCAAGCCAGACAGCTCCGCCTGTTTAATAAAAGCCTCGTGCAAGCCCGATCACAGGGAGGATAAATGGCCGAGCACAACCCCCATCTTCATAAAGCCCGTGGATGCGATTCTGAAGCAATAAGCCTTGCAGGGAAGGCAGCAAAGTGATCTTTGACCATGAATGCTTACGTGTAAAATGTGCAACTTCATGATGAAAATTTGATACACACGACATGTGAGTAGATGGTCCTAGATCGCAATTAACAGATATACAGGAAATGCCTTTTACCCAAATGCTGGAACGTGTCCTTGGCCCTTCTTTGAGTCCTCAGAACTACCTTCTTGGTGCTACCTAAGGGTAAACTTCAGTGCCAGACCGTGGGATTGACTTAAGTGTTGTTGACCGACTGACAGGTTTATAAAGCGTGCCTGGCAACTTCCTTTCACGTCTAGATAAACACGGAGACTTTTCATTCCGCTGCTAAATAGTAGAAATCAGGTAGTAACTATGCTGCTTTGAAGTGCACTGGCCATAGGTTCGTTGACAGCCACGTGCTGGAGCCCGTTTTTCCTGTGCCACACCATGGAAGGGCGACCCCTGACCTCACTGGGAAGATGTCCCAGAGCAACAGATAATAATGTCCGTTTAGCTATATGCTAACTGCATTGGCTGAAATCAATGTTCTCAACTGGAGATGCCCCCCCGCCCTTTCAGTTGTCACGCTGTGGGGGCAGGGAGTGCCACCGGCATCTGGTGAACACAGAGCCTGGCCAGGAATGCCGCCAAATGCCCGACTATGGTCAGGATGGACAGCTCCCTGCATCAACTAAGAATTACTTGTCAGCGGTGCCGAGGTTGAGAAACCCTGGTTAAATGGCAAACATTAGTTGCAAAAAAAAATCCAACCTGAGATCTCGCCCAGGCACCCATGAATATCAGATGCAGCTGAAAGAACCGCTAACTTTTTATTCTTCCAACGTCCCAGCTTCTGAAATTTAAAAACAAGAAAAGGGCAAAGTGGAATATTTTCGACTCTAATTGTTTTTTTCCTTTTCCAGCTAAAAGACAAATTTTCAAAGGAAATGAATGAGAATTAAGGGGCTTCTTTTCCCTCCACCCCTGATTTTACTAGAAAATTGAAAACAAGATCAAGAACCCAAGTTGTCCTCTCGGTGGATGCAAATTGAACTGTGGAATTCCTAATATATCATCTGTTGGCCTGCCCATATGAACAGGTACATAATAATGCACAGGTATTGCCTAAGTCTTGTGAAAATCATATGCTGTTTGTGGATAACAGTGGCAATCTTTGTACGTGTAGTAAGCTTAAAGGTTAGAAACGACGAGATTCAACATGTGAGTTTGTAGAGGAACATATGACCACATTTTTCCATTTTTTTCCACGCGGAGCTATCAAAATCTCTTTTAGGTTTCAAAGCTTACAGTCTCTATACCTAAAGAAATGAATTAGTAAAAGCAATTTAATAATCTGTTTAGCTGCATTGGTATTTTACGCCTTAATTTTTGAAAGCAGAGTAAATGGTGACTCACTTTTGTTTTAGTGTAAGCCTATGAAAAGTCACACGCAGGAACTATTTGGTTGATTTTAGCTGCCTTTATTTCAAAATTCAACAGGGAAGGAGACATTCACAGAGCTCCCTTTGCAGTCTTTGAATCAGCTACTAATAAACATACACTTTCGGAGAGAAGGCATGATGGGAGGAACTATCACTTAACTTCCTATTGTTTCATTGATAAAAATGATCTTGGAAGCAGAAGAATATATTAACTGTTTCCTTTGGTTTTCCATCTAGAAGGCTGAAAGACATTTCTAAAATAGATCTATTTTCTTTTCATTCTACAGAATAATGCATGAATGATTATAACATATGCTCTATCTCCCGTTTTTTTCTCAACCAGTGGAAAAGTGCCTGACATTGTAATCACAACTTGTTGGGTTTTCAATCTGATGCTGTCCCATTTTATCATGGTAGTTAAACGTCCATTCTTGTTCGGTGTGATAAATGTTATGGCCATTTAACAGTAACGAAAAAGAGAGACATGTTAAACCAAATATTGCTTCAGATTGTGTCTTTTATTCTCCTTTATCATCATATCTTAATTTATAGTATAATCATCATTATCACAACTGTCAGCCTCATTTAACCTTCCCTGATCTCCCATGATTCTTTGCTGTCAGGTCTGATTGCCTGCCTTCTGCTGACTGGTTGATAATGGCTGACTGATTAGCCCTCCCCAAGAGGAAGACAATGATATATAGAACAGTGCGGCTTGCTCTATATATTAATGAGGAGCTGGCAAAGCTTTGATAAGGCTGCGGAATAATCCATCAGTGCGAGAAGGAGCTTGTAAAACTGGAGGAACATTGCATGGGAAAGACACCTGGGAAGGATGTAATGACCCAGCAGCTAAACGCCCGTCAGCTGTCTTCCCTCTGTTGTAATTAACATCAGATAGCAGGCGTGTGGATAACCTAAGAAGTTTATCAACCCCCAAATCCAGTTAAATTCTCCCCATGTTGCATCCACCGCTCACCGTCTTTTACAACATATTTAGCAAGCCAGCAATTAATAGCTCATTTTCCTTGGCATCAGGAACTGTTTATCTTCTAAACTAGCTCTTATCGGAGGCTGTTACCTGTGAAAGGCAAGAGGCACTGGCGCTTTGTGCTCTAGTTGTTACACTTACTCAGCGGAGGCCTGCTTCACCATTACATGCAATGCTTCAGATGGCTACTTGAGTTGAATGTGCCGTTATTACAGGTATTATATGAAATTGCTTGTGTTATGTGAAGGGGATTATAGAGGTTCTGGATCAATAACTTTAGTGGATGTTGGGAGTGATTACAGTGCTCTGTCAATTTTCCCCATTTGGCTGTCAGTGTTGATTTACAACACACCACCTCTTTTATTCACATCAAATCACTCATTTCATTGGTAAATTCTATATATCTCAATTAAGTAGCTGATTTGTGTAAAATAAAATGACTTTCTCTTCTGTGTGTGCAACAGACCTAATCTTATATAGTAATAAAAAGTGTAAACAGGAAGAAAACTCTTTGTCCTTTTCAAAGCGTTGCATGCAGCGCTGTGGCTGCCAGCTACGTAAAACAGCTGTCACCGAAACTCCCCCTTACCTAGGCTTTGTTTAGAATCGATCTAGCCTCCTCTTCTAGCTTTCTTGTTTAATTGTGGGCAAGAGCTGCAGACCTGTGCATCTCTTCAAGTGCTAGTTATGTGGAGTCAAAGGGCGGGTGTGTCCTCTTGCACCTGCCCCCGCCTCTGCTTTCCAGTGGGTCGGTGGGGGACACAGAGCCCAGCTCCTCCGTGGTGGTGCAGATACAGCCCCTGCCTTCAAAACTCCGGGGCCATAAATGCGGTCTCAGAACGTTCACCTTGAATGTGCTGGCCGGCTCCTGCTTGGAGCAAGCTGCCTGAGTATCCCTTTTGCTGTTTTTGTTTTTTGCATGTGGGTGCATGCCTGTGTGTGTGTGTGTGTGTGTGTGTGTGTGTGTGTGTGTGAGCGCATGATGAGGGACACTGTCAGAAATCAGGGGAAAGGGGCCCAAAAGCATTCGGTGAAGTGACAAGTCAGAGAGACCCAGAAAGTGTTTGGGGGCAAAGGTCTAGACTTTTGTGTACTAACAGCAATTCTCTAGAAAGTATTCAGACCAGGTAAGATATTGGGCAAATTCCATTCTATCATTCCACACATGTGCATGTTCCTGGGATAACATTTCATTTGGGAATTGACTTCGGAGCCTTAAATTGACCTTCTCTTCTCATATCTGACGCTTCTTTTCTAGTATTTCTGACCTAAAAGAGGCTTTTGGAAAACTGTGTACTTTCCCACAAATAAATAAAACTTACATAAACAAAGTATTTACAAAATCATCAAAGGCAATCTCCCTACAGAGCCTCCCCCCAACAATTGTCTATGGCTCAAACAGACAAATGAATAAACCACTAGATCAACCAACCTATTAATGCACACAATTTCTGGGTACTGAAGCTATTCAAATAATAGACTGGAGAGGAGGGAAAAGGATGTGTTTATTGTCTGTCCTGGCATAAAATGGCCTTTGCATAAAAATATACAGATTAATCCTGCACATCTGTGGCTTTCAGGATTTTTCATTCACTTTGTATATTTTTTTGATATATTTTGCACAAGTTATAAAGCCAGGAGGAAATACAGGATTCTATTTAAAATATAATTTTAAAAATCTTCATAAACTGTGTCTGTATTTTCTGAAAAGCCCTATTGTCCCAGAGAGCATCATATTATTTAATATGCAACTGAAATCAAAGACCTGCAGAATCTGCCACTTCTTCCCCCATTACGAATCAACCCTTTAATGCGAGGTGCTGGGTTTCTGACGTGTTGGGGGTCTGCACCATAAAGGACCAGGTTAGACGGATGAAGCCGAAAGTTCCGCTTAGCGTGAGTGTCAGCATAGCAGGAAAATGGGAGTGGAGAAAGGGAAGGGGAGCAAACAGCAACCCCAAAGGAAACGCTCACACAGTGGATGAGTCCCACGCTCCAGGACAGATCCCCGGCCAACCTGGCCATTCCTGGCTCCCTGCACTGCAAGACTTTGGGCCACAGTATTTCTGGGTCTGTCCTAGGCACATTCTCCTACAAGTCTTCCCGAGTGCCAATTAGTCATCTGTCACCCACAGACATGGTAGACCAGAAGCAGCATCCGTGTGATTGCTTTCACGCCTCTGTGGGGAGGGCTGGGCTACAGCGCCAACCTGTTGTCCTCTAAAATTAGAAGTGATTTCAATTCAGGCATGCACGTCAGCTAGTATTGATGAGTCAACCTCAACAACAACAAGAAATATTTTGAGCAGGGCAGAACACCACGTACTGGGGGTGGAGATGGGGATGGGGTGGAAGGAGGCACAGACAGGCTTAGAATAGGAGCCTTGCTCTCAAGGAGTTAACGTCTAGTTAGGAAGATGAGACGTAACATAATGAGAACTGAAATTACAATAAAATCTAAAGATTACTTATTTATTTATTTATTTATTTATTTATTTATTTTGAGACCGAGTCTCACTCTGTCGTGCAGGCTGGAGTGCAGTGGCGCAATCTCAGCTCACTGCAACCTCTGCCTCCCAGGTTCAAGCGATTCTCCTGCCTCAGCCTCTCGAGTAGCTGGGATGACAGGTGCCTGCCACCATGCCTGGCTAATCTTTTGTATTTCTAGTAAAGGTGGGGTTTTGCCATGTTGGCCAGGCTGGTCTCGAACTTCTGACCTCAAGTGATCCTTCTGCCTCAGCCTCCCAAAGTGCTGGGATTACAGGTGTGAGCCACTGCACCCAACCTAAAGACTATTTTAGTGTCTACTATAGACACAATAGCCTTAGCTGTCAAATTAGCTTTACAGGAAGTAACTGCTAAGAATCAGATAGAAAGAGTTCACTTTTAGCTGGGGTAACCAGGAACAACATAACAGAGTAAGTGGGATTCTATTGGAACTTGGCATTTGCGGCATAGGAGGATGACTACTCAGTCTGAGGCATTCCTCAACACACACAAGTCCATGGAATTCCTCTTAATGGAAGGTTGAACTTGATACAGAATTACAGCATGAATCTGGCATTTGGGCTGATAGATGACAAGCTATAGCATTTGGAAAACTCTACTTTCAAAGGAGCAACAATTCACTTTTAAATAGCAATTTATAAAAGATGGCAGCCTTTAATATATAAACCCCTAGAGTTATGTCTGACATTACACAAAGGACATACATATTGCATAACCATTTTCAAACAATAGTAAAAAATTCAAATTAAGAATTTATGTGCATCTCTGAAGCAGCCACCAAATTCACTTAGGGAAAAAATGTACTTTGACAAAGTTACAGAAAATACTAATTTACTTATAGTTGACTAAAATTCAATTACAATTTTAATAATGAGGCCAAAACAAAAGGAATATTTAGAAGGCTGGTGTCTGGCATGATATCAAGGTGAAAACGTGTACAGTGAGCCATAAGCCTCAAGCCAAAGTTCACCCAAAACATAGCATCGTCATCAGGGCAAAAACAGCTACACAGGCATCGCAATTTCATGTGGGACTGAGAAAACGCAGCCTCTACACAGGGTGGGATTTTCTCATCCTGATGGATCAGAGACAACTGGAAGAGAAAGGGAATATGTAACAAGTGCAATCTTCCTGGGTCAATCTAATTTTCACTACATCATGATGAGAGGTTAGTTAATCAAGGGGAACTTCTCCCTGCCTTTGCTCCTTCAGGACACATGGAGACGGCCGTGCAGCCCCTGCGCAGCATCTGAAAAGAGCCCTCCCCAAACACGTCCTGAGTTTGCTCATGACATCTTTCCAGCACCAGTAAAAGGGTCTAACGCATAGCAGGCACTGAATCACTATCGCGAGAATAACTGAATGAATGAATGAATGAATGAATGGCATTATCAAAAAGACAAACAACATAAATTGGGGTGGGGGGCATGGACCGTTTTGTTAGTCTCCTTATACTTATTCCAGATCCAAAGCTACCTTTATGATGGTTAGAAATTCTTAATGGCACCCATTTGGGATCAGAAATCTCTTTAAATATACGTGTAATGAGGGCCAGTAGCCTTTCATGCACTTCTCATAGAATTTTCATTCGGAGAGAAATCAACAGGATTCAGTCTGAGGATGGACCAGGACTATTGGAAATTGCACCGGCTTTCTGTGCAGCGCTGCTGCCATCTTGAATCCTTTGTCTTCCACCTCTGAGAATCCGAATCCTGCGAGGATAGGGCCACTCGGAAGACATTGCCACCCCAGAGCATCACCGACGGGGCCGGTGACGGCCTCCCAGGGGGACGGGCTTTGCGATTTTTACTTCACCGCAAAGTTTCTGTTATTGCAGTTTTCCACGTGCCAGAACTGAGAGGGCAGAGCGGCTCCTGGTGCGTGAGGTGCCCTCCTGCCCGGCCAAACGCCAGCTGTTCCGTGGGAGCCGCCTGGCACGGGAGCTCTCCGTTGTGCCCAAGGCGGACGGGGAGGGAGGGGTGCGGCCTGCTGGCCATTTCACTGCTCTGCATTTCCATCTGAAATAACTAAAACCTCTGCACAGCAGTGAGCAGGCGAAAAAGAGTTCTTTCTCCCCCTCTTTTTCTTAACGCTGCTTCTCGTTAACAACTATCAACTGTTATTAATTTGCTTGCTCCTTTTAAGACCCAGTGTTTTAGTTTTAACTCTGCTGACAGGGCGGACCCTTGGTACTGGGCAGATGGAGGGAAGACAGTTGTGGGGATTTTTGGGTGACGCATTTAATTGTTCAAATGGAAGATGACTGAATACTTTGCTGACTGGAGACTAGTTTAGTTTATCGCCACGGGGCCCGCGCCGTGTTTCCCTTTACTCGGTGTGACCCCGGCGAGGCCAGGACGGACCACTCTGTTGGGAAGCGTATTATCTGGGGACTAGTTCGTGAGCTGTTTCTTCCAGGGAGAATTCCTTTCCCTGGAGAGAACACTTTAACCAAAAGGCGAGATGAACATAAATGCTGGCAACAATAAACAATTACCTAACGTGAAAAAGTGTTCCTATTTGGAAGAAAAAGAAAGAAGGAAACAAACAAACAAACAAACAAAAAAAAAAAAAGAAGAGAGGAACCCATCTAGCTTGCCCATAACCCAGGATTCTGTTTATAACTTCATATTCCAAATTACTTTTTCCACTTTTCTGTAAACTATTTGACAACTCAATGTCTTTCATCTTTTTAGGTTATTATTGGATCCATTCGTATAACGGAGATATTAATGATTTTTGGCTCCAATTTCTTAAAGCAAAATAAAATGCACACAGTCTCTCCACGTGCGAATGTGCATTGTAAAAACATCACATTGTTTTCGGGGATCCGAAACTTGTGCTCTCGAGGCGGCTAAGCCCCGCGTTTGTGCTGAAAGGTGCTGGGCTTGCATCTGTGCAGCCAGAAGGAACTTTGGATGCTGGGAGTGGTGAGGTCGTGGGCGCCGCGCGAGGCTCCACTTCTGGGGCGTCAGCCACAGCGGGCGCACGTTTCATCTTTTGGGGAGGGAAGGACCGAGGAGGAGGGAGGGGCAGCGCCGCCCTAACCTGGTTCCAGATTCTAAGGTTCAAAGGCAGCTTCCCAGAGAGTGCAGGACGGCCACCTCCCTGAGAAAAACGCCAGACCCACAGACACCGCTTTTCTCTCTCATCCTGAGTTTTGCTGTTCTTAGGCCCAGAGGTTTTCTCTCCGAGGAAGTGTCTGCATACCTCCTTCCTTTTGTCTCAACCGGAGGGTTTAATAGCTGAAGTAACTGAAAAGGACGAACAACAGAAAGCCTCCGGTTTCCAGAGTAACCGTAAAAACAGGCCCCAGTCTCCATGGCAAAGAGAAAAGCTATTTGCTGCAGCCTTTTCAGACCGTGAGCAGACACTGACAGTTTTCCTATAATCACCCCCGATTATTTGTAGCAACTAACTATATTATAATGTTAACTATAGGAGGTCTTTGAAAATATGCAGGCTGAAAAAAAAAGGAATAAAAAATGCACCGGGTTTTCCTCTGCTTTAGCTATGAATACATTATCAGTTTAAAATGTATAAAATAGTCTGCTCTAATAATTGAACCTAAAGGGGGTAGGCAGTGTCCGTCCCTCAGGTTTCTTTCTTGAATTCTCTTAGGGTGTCTACCCCTCTTTGGAAGTCTGCAGACAGTCTCAGTGTCTCCAACGCATTCATTTCTACCGAAGAGCAAAGGAAGAATGAATATACAATGTTTATACATTTTATTTCGCCTACTATGTATCGAGTGTACTTTATCCGGTACTTAGTAGCTGCCTTTCTCCCAGGCATCTGCAGGAATTATGCTACTTGTGTATGCGTGTGTGTGCATGTCCTTCATTCCTGAGCCTACAAGACCCGCAGTCCTATGACCTAAATTGCCCGTGTGCGTGGTACCTGCAGCTTGTGGCTGCCATCCGGCTGGGGGAACTGGGGGCTTTGCCAACGCTCTCTTCCCTCCCGCGTGCTGAGGTAGGGTGCGGCCCCCCGGACTGCCTGCCTGCCTTCCTCTACTGTTCTTCCCTCGAGCATGGCATGACCTTGAATTTCAGGCTCCATCTTTTATTTACAAATAAACATCTACCTATAGGACAAAGTTGGACCCATTATATATTTGACTATTAATAGCATTAATATCATTCCAATAGTGTCTATACAAGTTAACTTCCAGATGAAAAAGCACAATATTATTAACTATTCTTTTCTAAATTTCTCTCTCTCTCTCTCCTCCCCCCTCTCTCTGTCTCTCTCTCACACACACAAATACAGACAAATATGCAGCTCTGGGTTTACATATTACGTGGCATATTTCAATTTCCTATATATGTCTAAAAAGATTACTAACAAAATGTGAAGTAACACTACATAAATAGAGAGATTATAACTTTCGTATTCGATTTCTGGGGGGATGTAAATGTCTTCTTTTTGAGGAATACAGCTAAAAAAAAGATAATCACAATCCAAATAAAAATAATAATTCTTATTCCATATGTAAGTGCTCTCAAAAGAATTGAAAGTTTCCGTCTTGTCTTTAATGGTTAAAGAGAATAGTTTGGAGAAGAAAATTTGGGAAATAAATATCTTATGTCACTCAAAAATCATCTCATTTTAAAATAACACAAAAAACATGAAAAATAAAATAAACCTGCCTCAATAATTTTGATGTGTTTATATAGCTAGACATTAATCAAGGTCTAAATTTAATTTCCTCAATCACTTATTAAAAACCAACATACCTATACTTTGTCTTAACATTCAGGATGTATCTGTGCAGAGCTCCATTTAATTGCTGGTCTTTTTGTTTTGTTTTGTTTTGTTTTGTTTTCTGCCAAAAGAAAAGCATCCCAAATGACTAAGGCAGAAGACGTTCTTCCAAAGATGCCGAGTTGTGTTTTTCTCATGTGTTAGATTCACAAACAGGCCCCTCAACGCAAAAAGAAATCAGCTTAATAGCTAGGAATACCTCTTCTCTTTTCTGATTTTGTTTTTCTTCCTCAAATCTATGTGAAACAATTCTATGTTCTTCAAAGTGAGGGCCCGTGAGCAGCCAGCTGGCCCCGCAGAGGTGGGTTGAGTGTTCATTTTCCGAGGGAGGGCACGTCACTCCAGCTCACTCACAGGCCAGCCCGGGTGTCTGCCCAGCTGTGAAAGGAGGGCACTGGGGGGCTGAGGGTGGAGAGTTTGGATAAACGCTCCACGCCGATCTCGGGAGACGTGAGTAAACAATCTGTAACCTCCACCGAGATCACAAGGAAAAACTTCCAAAGTACAAAGCTATTACCTTAAATCCAAGGATATCACATCTTCCATCTGTCTCCAAAGTGTGTATTTATCTATCAGACTCATCTCTCCCTGCACGACTCACTCCCATTACCTGCTGGGTTTTATAAATTGCTTAAAGATAAAAGGCTTGCCCCGCTATAAAAAGAAGTAAGATATAATATTGAATTTGCACTAAAATGAAAAGTTTCCTGGTGCCCCTTATATATTTAAAATTGCTGTTTTCTTGTAATGAATATAATTCACTCTGTCTTTTCCGAAGTATAATCCCATAGGGTTTGACCAAACAAAAATGCTCTAATGATTGCAAATGGCTCAAATATTCTGTCCAGTGAGTTAAGTGATAAAAGTTTCTATGTTAAAAGAAATAATAAGTGAAATTTCACACGTATTATAGTAATTGTGAAGCATCCAATTTACATAGAAATAATGTGAGAGAATCCTGACCACGGTGTTTTAAGTGAATCATTACATGCGTCTAGAAGCTGCAGTGCGCCAGGTATGCTTCTTTTCGCATAATCAGTCTTGTAATGGAGCCTTTAAAAGCTTAAAATGTAGAGTTAGATTAACCTTTCTGTTTTAAGGGGTTTTCCCCCCTCAGGAAAAAAAAAAAAAAGGCAGAAGACAGAAATAGGGAATCATTAAAGAGCCAATTAAAGCCATACCCGGTTTCTCTCACCTGTCCAAGAGTCCCTTGGAAGCCCACCTTGTACCACTTAACATTTTATTACCTACTTTAGATTTTTGGTAAAATATGGTCATTCCCCCCACTCCCCGTTTAAAATCCAAGCATTTTACTCCAGTCCTTGGATAGTGAGTTAATTACAGTAATGATTCTCAAAGGAAGTTATCAACGGACAGTAAGGCAGATTTCTCTAACTAGAAAGGCAAGTTTAATCAGACAACTCCAGACACCCAAAGTGTGCGACGGCTGCAGCAGAATGACTTGGCTTTTCCTCTTCAAGGAGGCCACCAGCAACATGGCTCTTGATTTTTTCTTCCCCAAATAGCCTTCTGTGAACTTGATATTTTGCTCCAGCAAGAGGGCATTTCTGTTTAGTCTTATTCAATTGCAGGATTTAGCAGTAAGTCAGTCCCTAAGAGAAATGAAGGCACGGCAGTCCCAGACACGTTGTTCCAACCATCTGGGGTTACCCAAGGAGAGGGGGCAGATTACTCATTGGAGATCCTTAAAAGTTCAGTGTGCTACGTGTCACTTTCTCACTAAAATCTTCCTTTCTTTTCTGTGACTCACGATCCTCTCAGGCCCTTGGCTGTTTCTACTGCCTCTGGACCAGGGTTTCTCTGCACCTGCTCTAGTGATATTTTGGACCAGACAATTCTGTGTGTGTGTATTTGGGGTGGAGGGAGGGCGAAATCTCATGCATGTGAAATGCTTCGGAACATTCCTGCCTTTGGCACACCAGACACCAAACACCCCCACGTCCCAGCAGTGACAATCAAACATTTATTCACATATTGTCAAATTCCCCTGGAGTGAACCAGCCCCACCCCGGTTGAGAACCACGGAGAACCACTGGTCTAGAGGTCAAGGATGCAGAAGACTGCACAGCTCTCCACTCCCCTTCTTTGGCCAGGGACTCGGTGTGGTTAATCCAGCCTATCGTTTAAACACTCAAAATTGCCTAGTGTTCCTAAGGATTTCCTTTCTTTCAGACAAGATGAATTTTGGAGTTAAGATTAGCTGAAAATATCAGACATATAATAAGATAAAGAATAAAATAGAAATGATTAATAAATAAAACTCTGATTTTTCTGCAGTCCTCTCTTTCTGAGGACACTTCGGTGCTGTGGGATGAAGGGTGAGTGGAGTGTTGGCCCGTTTTCCCACTGCATGTTCTTGGGGTCCAGACAAAACAGCAGAGGGCAGATGGTGGACAGGGATCACCAGCCCATTTTGTCCATGTTGGCGGGTCAGACCCACCAGAATCAACATCCACTGGAACGAAGACCTCACAGGAGCCTCAGAATGTTTTCAAGAAGAGGTGAAGTATAAAGAATATAAATCTCACAGGAATAATTTACGCACATAATTTTAGGGTTTACCAAATGTATCCTAGGACATCATGTTGCTTAATTTTCATAAAGCTGCCCCTACTTCAAGATCTTTAGTTCAAATTCGAAGTCTATCTGTCCATCATCCATCACTCACCCACCCATCTAGCATCTATTCACCCATCCATCCATCCATCCATCCATCCATCCATCCACCCATCCACCCATCCACCCATCCATCCATCCATCCACCCATCCATCCACCCACCCACCCACCCATCCATCCACCCATCCATCCACCCATCCATCCATCCATCCATCCATCCATCCATCCATCCATCCATGTATTCAATATTTATTCAATGTTTAGCATGTATCGTCCATGGGGAGAAAATTATGTGCTTGGTGTGGAGAGGGAAAAGGGTGAATCAGACCTGATTCCTACATGCAGCACGGAATTTAATCAACGAAGAAATAACTTTGGCTACACAACTTTACTTCACCTTTGTTTCTGTCTTCTCAAAATGTACAGACAATGGATTAATGAGCAAACACATATGTATTTCACATATGACATTGTTACACTGTGTAACGGGATGGTAACTATGACAAGGGAGCCAAGGTCCCACTCATTAGCCGTTTATGCTTCTGGAAGCAGGGTCAGTATTCAAACGACTGTATCAGTTGTTAGACAAAGTTTATTGACTGTTATATGTTTCAACATGTATATGTGCATATAAATAGACACATGTATATTCACATACACATATGTTATTTGAATGATATGTTTCACATATGTTTTTACCCACAACCTTGCAATGCTGAAGCAAACCTCTCAATATCAGGAACCATGTCTCATTTCTCTCTGAATTCCCAATATGTTCACATATATAACATGCATTACATAACGTTTGATGAGTGAGTGATGGATTGAATGCCAAGCACTGTACTGGTGCTGGGGATAAATAAATCGACTCTGTCTCTGCCTTCAAGGAGCATTTTGTCTAGTTGGGGATAGAACCTAGACAGCGTGATTAAAGTCAGAGGTGACAATAAAAGGATGAAGTGGTTGATTTTGCCAGGTGACTGGGAGATATCTAAGGAGGGTGAGGCTGTGCTTTGTTCCTGTAGAGTTGGCAGATTGAACGGGGCTCTGAACCCCCACCAAGATAGTACAGGGCTTCTTTTAAAGGTACAAACCCACCAGCATAAAGAGAAAAGGGAAGGAAAGAACAATAACACAATTTTGGAAGCTGGAGAGTAGACAGATGATTGACAATGAATTTGGAAGACCAGGGAAGGCTGCAGCTGGGCCAGCAGTGGGGAGAGCTGTTGTAGCTGACACCACAGGACAGGGTCCCAAAGGCCAGTGACGCCAGTGCCAGGGACCTTTGAGAGCTGTAAATCAAATTGAAATAAAAGCAGGCAGATGGATCAAAAATCTCTTTAGAAGTGGTCAGATTCCTAGATCTCCATTTCCAATGCATGCAGGTGGGAGGATGCTCTCCTCGCCACCCAGCAGGAGGCCAGAGATGTGACCTCTGCAGGGTAAAGCAGGGGACTGCAGTGCAGTTGCACATAGGGGCACGACCATGGAAACGGGAAACGGTCAGTGAGCATTGATGTCTTCAGCTCTTTGCCTTGCTTGGTCCTCATAACCAAGCTGTCAGGGTTATGCAATCCAGATGAAAGCATGTAGCATCTGAATTGATAAAGAAAAATGACCTAAAATTACTGACATTGAAGTCCCTCAACTTAAAGGAGTAGTTGACTTCCCCACAGTAAATCTCACAATCATCAAAACCTGGCCTGGAGTGTCCAGTTGACCTTTTAGTGCTTCTTTCTTAAATATGAGCAAAGAACCAAATGGCATCAGACACAGGAGCAAAAGCTCAAATATGAACGGCAGAGATAGAAACCAACAAACAGAAACACATTTTCTTAGATAAATCAGAGACCAGGCAGGGTGCAGTGGCTCACGCCTGTAATCCCAGCACTTTGGGAGGCCGAGGTGGGCAGATCACTTGAGGTCAGGAGTTCAAGACCAGCATGACCAACATAGTGAAACCCTGTCTCTACTAAAAATACAAAAAAAAAAAAAAAAAAATTAGCTGGCCATGGTGGTGTGCACCTGTAATTCCAGCTACTCAGGAGGCTGAAGCAGGAGAATCACTTGAACCTGGGAGGTGGAGGTTGCAGTGAGCTGAGATCACGCCATTGCACTCCAGCCTGGGCAACAGAGCAAGACTCTGTTTCAAATAAATAAATAAATAAATAAAAATTAAAAAATAAATCAGAGACCACATAGGAAGAAGCAAACTTTATAGAAACTACCATTAATTCTTTAGAGAGATAAGAGACAATATTATATCAAAGAAACAAGAACAGAAAGCTATAAAAAGGACCATTTGGACTGAAATTAAATATATGATGGCAGAAATGAAAATCTCAAAAGTGAAAGTGGAAAATAAAGTGAAATGAACCTTTGAAAATGTAGAGCAAATAAACAAAGAAATAGAAAATAGAAATAGGAGTATAGAAATAGAAAATAGGAAAGGAAGATGATAACATCACAGCATTAGTATAGGAAGTCCAATGACCAAATGACAGGAGTTCTAGAGGTAACAGTGAAAACAAAGAGGAGGAAATAATCAATAGAATAATTCCAGCAAATTTCTAGGACATGATTTTCCAAATTAAAGAAGCCCATCAATTGCCCAGAACAATGGATGAATACAGATCTGCATCAGAGTGTTGCTCAGTGGAGTTCCTAAACATAGGAAAAAAGAAATAAGATCACATACAAAGGATCAGAACAACATCATCCTTTTCAACAGTAATTAAGGAAACTGGAGGACAGTAGAGAAATGCCTTCACAACCCTGGATGAAAACTGTTTTCTGCTGGGCCTTCTACATCTATCCCAAATCTCAAATTTAAAAGAAGATAGAAATTACCTTCAGACATAAAAGTTCTCAAAAAATTTACCTCTTATGTACATCTTATCAGAAAGCTACAGAAGGACGTGCTCCATCAGAAAGAGGGAGTGAATCAGAAATGGGAGAAATACACATTCCAGGAAACAAGTGATACAATACAAGAGAAAGGCAAAGGGAATCACCAGATAATGTGGTGTGAGATCCCAGGAAGCCATATGTGCCAAAGGAGAAACTGGAAACAACTCTAGATGAGAAAAGCTTAGAGGCTCAAGGAGGGGTTCTTCAAGAAGATGAAAATGATAAAATATCGGGTCTACATGAAAGTATTGAAGAATTAGATAATAGAGAAGAGTTTGGATTGTAATTAGTTATAAGTACATAGAAAACAAAGCAATTAAAAAAACAATGATCAATTCCAGGATATTTGTGCAGGAAGGAAATGCAATCATGGCACACTGCATGTACTAACTGTGAATTACATTACATAGATACAGCCATGTAAACATTTCTAAAATAAGGTAGCACTGTAATACTGGGAGGATGGTGGTGGATGGTGGAAGAAAGCTAACTCACTTTTACACAGTATGAACTCAACAAATAAATGCCTAAAACAGAACTCCAAGGAATAGCAATCTAAACACCTTTATTTAGAAATGTGGAGGTAATACCAAAAGAATCAGAGAGAAAAGTTCAAAGTGCTTTTGTCTAAGGAGGGATAAATGAGAGTAGGGGAGGCAAGGGATTTTTATGATTTGTACAAATGCTAGAGAATGACTTAACTCTTTAACTACATGCATGCTTACCAGTTCATAAAAATAAAAAGTAGGCCGGGTGCAGTGGCTCACACCTGTAATCCTAGCTCTTTGGGAGGTCAAGGTGGGCAGATTGCTTGAGCTCAGGAGTTCAAGACCAGCCTGGGCAACACGGTGAAACCCTGTATCTACCGAAATACAAAAAATTAGCCAGGTGTGGCAGTGTGCATCTGTAGTCCCAGGTACTCGGGAGGCTGAGGCAGGAGAATTGCTTGAACCTGGGAGGCGGAGGTTGCAGTGAGCCAAGATCACACCACTGCACTCTAGCCTAGGCGACAGTGAGACTCCATCTTCAAAAATAAATAAATAAATAAATAAATAAATAAATAAATAAATAATAAAATAAAAACTAAAATAAAACTAAAGGCGTAATTGGAGTTTACCAAGAAGGTAAGACAGAGGGACCATATTCCATTTGAGGGCACAGAGAGAATGAGCAAGGTGGTGCATCCAAGAGTGTTTTGTGGGAATGGGGGTGGTGTGTACAGGGCTGGAAGGAGAGAGGTGAGAGGGGGTGTTGAGGGACAAGGATGTAGACGTTGACAGAGGCCCGCCTCCAGAGGATCTTGGATTCTATTCTAAGGCATTTGGACCTTATCTGGTAAGAACCAGGAAAATCATTGTATAGGAAACCAGAGCCCAATCTGCTTTACAGTTTATTAGTGTGGCTCTGCTGGTGAGATGGGGCAGAGTTGAAAACAGTCAATAAAAGAGGCAAGATTAGCTTGGAGGCTGCTGTAGTCATTCTGGTGGCAACAAGAAAATGGATTGAAGAGACATTGAGAGAAAGAATATGTTGAACTTCATGCTATTGTGATGAAGATTTTTGGCTGGATATTTGAAATTCCAGCTACAAACTAGATTGAGAAAAAATGAGAGAAAACTGGCATTCATGGAATTTTGACTTGAGCAATTGAACTAATTGTGACACTAATCCAGCCAGACTGTAAGCTCCATGAGGACAGGGTAAGATCTATCTTGTTCAACACCACCTCTCCTGGTGTATAGGGCCTTCCATAGCAGGTACAATGGAACATAAAAATAGGTGACTTTCACCTTCCACATGTCCTCCTCCATGATCTTCCCCCTTTCCATTTGACTGGAATAGAGGCAACATCTTGGTGCCCTTAGGAACAACCTATAGAGGATGATATATCATAGGACAGAAGAGCTTTGGATCCCTGAGTCACCACCTGGAGAAGAACTGTCCCACCCAGAACACCTCCAGCCATCTGTTATGGGACTGGGAATAAGTCATGATAGCCACAACTTATTTGGGGGTTTATAGGAATTAGTTGCCTTAACTACTGTTACTGCAAATTTGGGGGATAGATATTACCTACATAAGATGTACATTTGGGGAGTTAATTTCTCTCTCGCTGCATACCCCTGCCGTAACTCGTTGACTAATTCATCTCAGCAGAAAATGCTGATCAGTCAGAAAATACTTCATTTGATCCAGACAATAAGGCCAGGGTAGCAATAGAAAGCCGGAAGGAATGTATGTGCAGGTACAGGGCTGAAACAATTGGGGGCACTGTGGAAAGGCAGAGCAAAGCAGTGCTGGTGGTGAGGGGAGCACTGGGAAGGAGGGAGAGCCAAACAGTGTGGACTCATCCCCCACTCTGCTGCCCAAAGCATCATCCATCCCCCACACCCCAGTCACACGAAGGAAGACTAAGTGCACAGCTGACCTAAAGCCACAGCCTGAAGAGATGGATTAACATGTGCCCTGGACGGAGTCATGTCCTCCCACACCCACGTCCTTCCTGGTTCCTGTGAATCCGACTGCTATGGTTTGAGTGTGTCTCCTCCGCCTCCAATGCAGGTGTTGGCAATGTGATGGGATTGAGAGGCAGGCCCTTTTAGAGGCGATTTGGCCCAGAGGGCTTTTTCCTCCTGGAGGGATCAGGTGTCCTTATGAATGGGCTTTACCAGGAGCTCATCTCCATTCCTCATTGACACATGAGGACGCAGCAAGAGGGCCCCCACCGGACACCAGGTGCCCACACCTGGATCTTGGACTTCCAGCCTCCAGAACTGTGTGAAAGAAGTGTCTGTTCTTTATCAATTACCCAGTCCATGGCATTCTGTGACAGCAGCACAAACGCCCTAAGACAGTGACATTATCTGGAAATGGAGTATTTGCAGATGTAATTAGTTGAGGTGAGGTCACACTGGAGTGGGGGCCTTGCATCCAGCATGGCCTCTCCTTATAAGAAGAGAAGGAGGCTGAGTGCGGTGGCTCACGCCTGTAATCCCAGCACTTTGGGAGGTCGAGGTGGGTGGATCACGAGGTCAGGAGATCGAGACCATCCTGGCTAATACGGTGAAAACCCATCTCTACTAAATACACACACAAAAAATTAGCTGGGCGTGGTGGCGGGCGCCTGTAGTCCCAGCTACTAAGGAGGCTGAGGCAGGAGAATGGCGTGAACCCGGGAGGCAGAGCTTGCAGTGAGCTAAGATCGTGCCACTGCACTCCAGCCTGGGCAACAGAGTGAGACTCCATCTCAAAAAAAAAAAAAAAGAATGCCCGTGAAGATGGAGGTGGATGCCGGGGCAATGCTTCTGCAAGGCAGGGAATTCTAAGACCTGCCAGCAGCACGGAGACTGGAAGGCACAAGAAGGGTCCTCTCCTGCAGGTCCACGTGGGAGCACAGCCGCGCCAAGCCCCTGGTCTGGGACTTCTGGCCTCCAGAACTACCGAAGACTGCAGAGCACTGCCCAGTCTGTGGTGGTGACAGCAGCCCCAGGAAATGGACACAACAAGGAATTTTAAAAAGATGAAAACACACATGCAGTCAGCCACCAGAGGAAGCAGGAAGCCTGGTGGGCGGGAGTCTCAGTGCAGTGATGCCTGTGACACCGACAGACACCACGGGAATGCCTCCAGGAGGAGGCCAGCCACCTGCCACCCCGCCTCGCCTGCTGGAAGAGGTGACTAGACAGTGGCCGGGGCAGAGGCCAGCAGGACCTGCACCTGAGTGTGCGGACTGGCCAGGCGCCTCATGATGCAGCTGGGGGGAAAGCGCTCAGGCCCCCACCCCAATCAAGTTTTCCAAATTTAATTGTCTTTTCCAACCTGAATAACTTCCTCGTGGGGCTGCGAAGACAAGGGCCAAGGCACTGGCTGCCCTTTGGTTCTCCAGCCACAGGGTGGGATCTGGATGGATCTGCCCCCAGACGGCCAGTGCAGGGGTTCACCCTGCAGCACCTCAGCTTTTCAGAGCACGGGTTCAGATCCAGCAGTGCATAGAAACACAAAATGTCTTTGTTGCTATGCTAAGAAGACAAATCAGCAACCCCATACCCCACATCTGCCTCAACTGCTGCCATTCTGAGGCTGGACTTTCCCTGCCCTCGAGTCCCAGGTCAGTGTAATGTCATATGGCCTGTGACCTGCTTAGGTAGCTCATCATACTGAACAAGCTTAGCACAGACTCAAACCTTAGGTTCCAGAGCTGGGTGCAGCCTTGGGTCAAAATTTAAAACTCTTCTGGAAAAGGCCAATCTAAGCAAGGCCTTCCTTCTCCAGTGTAATATGCTTAGGTAGCTTTTAAACGTGCACGTATTTATTACCTTTCTAATGCAAAGAGACTAACTGAGCATAACAAATTAACTCTCCGCATTAGGGCTTGAACTCCCCAGAGGCCTCATTCATCCTCTGGGCTGCGGAGCTGAACACTATTCCTGATGTAAGGTTTGTGGAATGGAAATGGACCTTCAGGTCCTTTGCAGGCACTGTTCATCTCATCAGTTATTAATTGGCTTTAAAAGTGTGAATTGCTTCTGAGAGTAGAGAACCCACTGCTCCCCCAGGACCCGACTGAACCCAGCTCAGGCAGCGCCTTCTCTAGGAGGGGTAGAAAGAGCTGGACACAGCACACACCTTCCCCTTCCCACTCTTCAAGGCTGAAGATGTCGCCTGCTGTGCCAGGGTTCCCACAGCCTTCAACCTGGAGAATAAGGATGGTCCAGGCTGGGGTGCTACAGCATCCCAGCACCAGCACCTCTGCACAGTACCTGGCTGCTGCAAAGCTTTGCAGTCCAGTCCCATTTAGACTGCAGAGTGAGATGCTTATGACAGAGCCACAGAGCGCGCCTGGTACTCCACCAGCAAGGTCAGCACCATCATCATTACCACCCTGCTTAATGTCTCACCTGTAGCCCCGCACGCACCCTGAGAGACACCTGGCTGCCAAGCCATGTGTTTCTGATTCATTTGTGCTTCTGATGGAGCCTTGGGGATCAGCTAGTGGGAGAAAACCCGCCAGAAAGTCAATGATGTCATCTTGCCACAATTCCAACAGCTGAGACCACCCCAGTCATCAGCTCATCCACGTCGTTCTCTCCCCAGAGTTGAGACCATGGTGTCGGTTAGGATTTGCTCCCTAACAACCCATCCCCAAAACAGAGCAGCTGAGAAGGATCTGTCAATTCTTACAAAGATGTGGGCTGACTGGGTGGCCCCTTGGCTGGCCTTGCCTAGCCCACTTGGTGGCTGTGTCCAGCTGCAGGCCTGGCTGGACCCCTCATGCGGCTGGGATGGCAAGGAAGGCTTCCTGGGAGGAACGGTGCAGAATCAGAGCTCAGTGTTATGCTGGGCTTGCCCTAGGGAGGGAACAGCATTCCAGGCAGAGGGGTCCACAGAAGCCACAGCAGGAAGGCAGTGGGGGCCACCGATCTGCAAGCAGTGAGCGCATACCCCAGCATGAGGCTTGGCACAGAGAGCGAGGCAACTCCATCAGCACCGTCCATTCATCTGTCCTATAGGAAAGGGCTTAAGGGCTGCAGGCTCAACTGTGATTTCACCTAAACAGGGTGGGTATGTCGGAGTAGTCCAGCGACATCAGAGCACAGAGAGGAGGCAGCATTTGCCATTGGGTGGATCAGGGACCCCTCATGGGGGAGAAAAATGTCCCCAGCAGAAGTCAGTGGAGCTTCTCTTGCCACCATGCCTCACTTGGGCAGAGTCTGCCCATGGCCAGAACACCTTCTTCCCCCTCTGTTGATTGCAATATTTTCTCTAAGTCTAGCCCTCTGGCAGTTTCTCTAAAGACACAGCCTAAATGGGTGCCTGATCCTCGTCTGGGCTCTAGGTCCTTCTAACATCAGTGACCCAGACAAGGTGGACCCAAGAAAATGACCTCCTGGGTTGATGTGTCTGGGGTGAGAGTGTTTAGTGTGAAAGTGAGTGCTCGGAGGGAAGGGGTGATGATTCCCTGCATCCTGCTGGCCGCCACCTGCTGCCCCACTGCCATCTCTCCTGCCAGGACAGGTGGCAGTTTTGCTCGTCCTGCTCCTTCTCCGCTGCTACCACTGGACCCTGAACCCTGGCCCTACCCTGGGCTCCGCAGTCCCCTCCCAGCCAGTCTTTCCATCTGCAACGCCCCCTCCATCTGCCGCACAGCTGTGAAAATTGTCTCCTCGAGAAAGAAAACCTCACGGTGGCCTCCCTGCCTCTCAGCTCTAAAGTACTGGACTCTAAAGGACAACGACGTGCGTCACGGAGATCAGCGCGCTGACGGGAGTCGGCTTTTGTTTTCTGTGGGTGCTGTTGCAGATTCCCACAAACGGTGCCTTAGAGCGAGGCAGATTGCTCACCGCATGCTTCTAGTGGTGGAAAGTCTGATGGCTCAGATGGTATCCCTGCTCTGGGTCCCCCAGGTGGAAATAGAGACCTGGTGGGCAGGATGTGACCTGGAACCTCAAGGGGGGAATTCGCTTCCAGGCTCACTGGGGTGGCTGGCAGAGTGTAGCCACTGCAGATATGGGTTTGACATCCTGTTTCCTTGCTGGCCCCCCACTGGGGCCATGCACAGCACCACCTGCAGCTGCCCACTCCCCTGGCCCACAGCCTCCTGCAGCCTCCAAGCCAGGAACAATGGGTGCAGTCCCGACCCTCCTGTCTCTGAGCTTCCCTTCTGCCTCCGGTCTCCAGGTGATTGTTAGAGCTCCCATGCTTCTCTTGGGTCCACTGCAGCATCCAAGGGAATGCCCCTATCTTGTACTCCTAACCTTAATCACATCTGCAAAGCCGCATTTGCCAGGTAACACATTTTCACACGTTCCAGGAACCAGGGCAAAGACATCTTTGGGGGACCCTTCTGTCTACCTCGCTGACAAAGCCATGGGAGCTCTTCCTCCCAGAAGGTGAATCGGGGCTTCCCTGGATTGGGGCTTTCATGGATTTGGTTAAAATCTCCGATACAACCTCATGCATCAGTCAGATAGGCAGCTGGCTGCCACCACGACGGATGGTCAGCATCCCAGAGAGCACCACAGGAAGCCTTGGCTTTGCTCACGGCATGTGTCCACAGGAGCTCATCGGGGTGGGGTAGAGTGGGGGGTCCCTTACCCCAGGCCTGTGAAGCAGCGGCATTCCAAGCACAGCCAGCTTCTCCCAGAGGAGAGCAGAGTCCTAGAGGGCCTTGGGCCAAAAAGCAAGTCTTCCACATGGCAGCAACATCTGCCACCCGGCCTGCCTCACCTAAAGTGGGCCAGCACTGCAGTCCCACCGCGTACCTGGAAGGCAGCAAGCACTGGAGAGAGGCCACCCCACAGCCAGGAGCTATGGGCCACCTGCAATGTGCCAGGCATCGGGGACGGTGCTTCACACAGAGTTGCCAATGTAGGAAAAACAATTGACTTAGGTGCCCAGGCTCAAGGTCAGTGCTCAAATCCACCTGCCTTAAAACTCTGCTTTAACACTGTTAGGAGGTTTTCAATTAACACCGACAACTTTTGGCTCAAAACCAAAAGACAAACACATGCTCCGAGCATGTCGATGCCTTGGAGACTAAAGAAAACCCAACAGTCTTCACCTTTGCTTTAGGAAAGGCTGTGCTGTGTGCACTGCAGATCTGACTTACTGCAGAGTTCTCCACGAACAGGACAATAAGGACCCATCTGACTTACTGCACAGAGTTCTCCACGAACAGGACAATAAGGACCCATCTGACTTACTGCACAGAGTTCTCCACGAACAGGACAATAAGGACCCATCTGACTTACTGCACAGAGTTCTCCACGAACAGGACAATAAGGACCCATCTGACTTACTGCACAGAGTTCTCCACGAACAGGACAATAAGGACCCATCTGATTTACTGCAGAGTTCTCCACAAACAGGACAATAAGGACCCATCTGACTTACTGCACAGAGTTCTCCACGAACAGGACAATAAGGACCCATCTGACTTACTGCACAGAGTTCTCCACGAACAGGACAATAAGGACCCATCTGACTTACTGCACAGAGTTCTCCACGAACAGGACAATAAGGACCCGTCTGACTTACTGCACAGAGTTCTACCACAGCACAGAGTTCTCCACGAACAGGACAATAAGGACCCGTCTGACTTACTGCACAGAGTTCTCCACGAACAGGACAATAAGGACCCGTCTGACTTACTGCACAGAGTTCTCCACGAACAGGACAATAAGGACCCGTCTGACTTACTGCACAGAGTTCTCCACGAACAGGACAATAAGGACCCGTCTGACTTACTGCACAGAGTTCTCCACGAACAGGACAATAAGGACCCGTCTGACTTACTGCACAGAGTTCTCCACGAACAGGACAATAAGGACCCGTCTGACTTACTGCACAGAGTTCTCCACGAACAGGACAATAAGGACCCGTCTGACTTACTGCACAGAGTTCTCCACGAACAGGACAATAAGGACCCGTCTGACTTACTGCACAGAGTTCTCCACGAACAGGACAATAAGGACCCGTCTGACTTACTGCACAGAGTTCTCCACGAACAGGACAATAAGGACCCGTCTGACTTACTGCACAGAGTTCTCCACGAACAGGAAAATAAGGACCCATCTGATTTACTGCAGAGTTCTCCACAAACAGAACAATAAGGACCCATCTCTTTTACTCCCCTTTCCCCTAAAAAACAGTAACATTAAATAAATGTATCCAGCTCCTCTCTCCCTCTCTCTCCTTTCTCCCTCTCTCTCTCTCATTCCCCCTTCAAGGTAAGGTCACATTCCACACAAGAATATCAGAACAAGCGTCTGAGTGAACAGGAAATACAGATATCAAAAATTCACCCCAAGGACGCAGCAGGCTTTAAAGGATGTCCTGTGTATGGTGGAGTCCATGAAACGTCCTTTAATATTACTTTTCCTTTTGCATTAATTATGATGACTTGATCCCAAGCATTTCAAGGAGATAAGTAAAATCTAAAACTTTGTAAGGCGAAATTATCATTATTTTTAATAGTAAGATTTTTCTCCTCTACCTCTCTCTCAATAAATAACTTGCAAAGTAAGGTTAACTATTGTGTCAATCTAGATGCACTTAGCAGAATACATATACAAAAATTGATATAATTCTTATATATCATCAATGAAAAAGTTGTTCAGAATAACCATATCACATGAAGATATATTGAAATAAATGTTATGAAAAATATATCTTTATCAAGCAAATATTTATGAAGGAAGCAGATATAAAGTAAATAAGCATGTCATAATCCTAGATAGTAAAGTCATTGTGTATATTGCAAAGATGTCAATTCACCCTAAATTATTTAATACATTGAATGAAATTCCAGTAAAAAGTCAACATAATTTTGCAAACTTAACTAAGTTATATTAAACTGGATATGGAAGTACAAATGAGTAAGAAAAATAATGAAGGGATATCCTTCTGCTTCATTTGAAAACAAGCTGTATCAGGCCATACCGACTCAGACTTGTGGCGCTGACAGGTGATGAGATAGGAGTTCAATGGCAGAGACAGAGAAGCAGAAATAGAACTAAACTATGCATTATTCTTTAATGTAAAAATGTATTTTAAATCAGTGGAGAAAGACTGAATTATTCAATAAATTCTGCTGGAATAGTTATTTAATTATAAACAATAAATAAATACATGTTGGCACTTGTACTCATACCATACATCTAAATCTACTCCAGATGAAGAACAAGGAAATCTTAAACAACTATAGAAAGAAATGTCACATGTGTAGAGATCCGACGTGAAGACAGATTTTCTAAACATGACATCAAAGATAAAACACTAAGGAAAAATTTGATGGACTTGACAACCTAAAATTTTTATACTTTTTCATATTAAAAATAGAGGCAAATGACAAATTGGGGAAAACATTTAAAATATATGCAGTACTCAAAGGCTATTAAATATCTCAATATGTAAAGAGCACTTATAAATCAATAAGAAAAAACATCTCTATGGAAGAATGGTCTATGGATACAAATAGTTCAGAAAGGCAGACCAATACACAGCCAGTTCCCTCAAGAAAGCAGTGTACCCTCACTCACAGGCAAACAAACACAACCTGATACCAGCTACCATTGTTTTAATGGCCAAAAAGGGAAAGACTTCAGAAATTCACAATACTCCAATTGTCAAGTGGAGATAAGCATCAAGAATCACACATACCTTGTCCATGAGTGTGCCCATTTGTGTATAATTTCCAGAGTGCAGACTTCCAACGTGTCTCAGATGCCTCAGAAATGGTTACCTCCTTTGGATCTGCAATTCTGCTTTATCATTCTTCCCTCTATGGAAATAATCAGAAACAGATATGAAGGATTTTACTAAGATATAAATTGCAATTAAAAAAAATTAAGCCTGGGGGAAAACATTCAACATTCATCAAGAGAATAGTTTAAAATAAATCAACTCAAAATTAATAACCATGCATATTTTTCAAGGACCATTGGATAATATTCAAAATCATTTTAGAGAAGCGCTTAATGATATGGAAAAATTCTCACAATGAAATGCTAAGTGAAAAATGCAGAATACAAGATTTTACATACATTATGATTTTTGTTTTTCCTTAAAATATGCACTTTCCTATAATCCACATGCATTTATTTTTCCAATTAGAATGATCATATTTAACTTTTTTTTTCTTTTAAACTATGAGGAAATCTCTCCAAACGCATTTTGGGTTAGGACGCAGCATATTGAGACATGACTTAGACTGTGAATTTGAACATAGAGGGTTGAACTGGAAGCCCTTTCCCTCTCAGCTTAATTCCAGGGTGCGGTGGTGGTGGTCCCTTGGGCTCTAGCTCAGCTGATGGGTTACCTCTATCTCCATGAAATATCTCAGTTACTCAGTGATATGGTCTGGATCTGTGTCCCCGTCCAAATCTCATGTCTAATTGTAATCCCCAGTGTTGAAGGAGGGGCCTGGTGGGAGGTGATAGGATCATGGAGGCGGAGTTTCCCCTTGCAGTTCTTGTGATCCTAAGTGAGTTCTCATGACATTTGGTTGTTTAAAAGTGTGTGGCACCTCCCCCTTCTCTCTCTTCCTCCTGCTTTGGCTATGTGAAGACGTGCCTTCTCCCTCTTCACCTTCTGCCATGCTTAAAGTTTCCTGAGACCTCCCCAGTCACGCCCCCTGTACAGCCTGCAGAACCGTGAGTCAGTTAAACCTCTTTTCTTTACAAATCACCCAGTTTCAGGTATTCCTTTAGAGCAGTGTGAGAATGGACGAGTACACTCAGAGTTCCCTCTCGTTGCAGTGGTGCATGGAATGGTGCCCAGCAAAGTGGCCCATGGTGGGGGACCAGTGATGCCCTGCCCTGCCATGCCATGCATTACAGTTGAGTTAGAATGAGAAGCTTTGGGCACAGAGGAGCAGACAAATAATTGAAGCTGAAACATTTGGGAAACTTGGTGCCAGCCCATTGTTACACTATCCCGGCTGCTTTTGATGCAAATGTCAACCTTCCTAGGCTGCTCCATCCCCTTCCTTCAGCTGAGAGAGGCAGCTGGTCAGCATGGGCAGCCTCCCCTGGGCGTGGTATTCATGGCAGAACTCATTTTCTCCTGGGAGAGGGAGGAGGAGACCGGCTCCTTCACTCACCTCTTTTGTTTCTAATTCTCTCCCTCCGGGTTCAACTCTGCCTACTGAAGTCCCGTTCCCATCCTGCCCTGATCATTCCAGAATCTATCACTTAACAAATACTGAGTCAGGTCTGCTCTGCACCAGGCTGGGGCCGGGCACTGGGCTTCAACACAGAAGAGAGTGAGCCTCCCTGCCCCCCAGCAGTCCCCTTCCAGTGGGGGGGCCAGTGGCTCCCTACGCCTTGTCCTGGGCCTGCACCGGGGGTTTGGACCTGGAGCCCCCCTGTGCCACTTTCCTGAGTGGAACCTCCATGCACAGACCCTCCTCCAGGCTTGGCCCCCACTTCACTCCTCAGGTGCTTCAGAGGGACTCAGCCAGCACGGGCTCCACCCGACACTGGGAAAAAGCCCCGTTGTCATGTTTAAATAGGGTGAAAACAGTACAGCCAAACTTCTATCATGTTTAGAAAACTGGTGGAACAAATACCCTTGTGTTATACTTTTTAGAAGAATCTGGCATTTGTGGCTGGCCACGCTGCCCACATTGATGGGGACTGTGCGTGTGTGAAGCCTGCTCCATTGCTACCGTTGATGGGGACTGTGTGTGAAGCCTGCTCCATCGCTGTCATTGATGGGGACTGTGTGTGTGTGAAGCCTGCTCCATCGCTGCCATTGATGGGGACTGTGCGTGTGTGAAGCCTGCTCCATCGCTGCCATTGATGGGGACTGTGTGTGTGTGAAGCCTGCTCCATCACTGCCATTGTTGGGGACTGTGTGTGTGAAGCCTGCTCCATCACTGCCATTGATGGGGACTGTGTGTGTGTGAAGCCTGCTCCATCGCTGCCATTGATGGGGACTGTGTGTGTGTGGAGCCTGCTCCATCGCTGCCATTGTTGGGGACTGTGTGTGTGTGAAGCCTGCTCCATCACTGCCATTGTTGGGGACTGTGTGTGTGAAGCCTGCTCCATCACTGCCATTGTTGGGGACTGTGTGTGTGAAGCCTGCTCCATCACTGCCATTGATGGGGACTGTGTGTGTGAAGCCTGCTCCATCACTACCATTGTTGGGGACTGTGTGTGTGAAGCCTGCTCCATCGCTGCCATTGTTGGGGACTGTGTGTGTGTGAAGCCTGCTCCATCACTGCCATTGATGGGGACTGTGTGTGTGTGAAGCCTGCTCCATCGCTGCCATTGATGGGGACTGTGTGTGTGTGAAGCCTGCTCCATCACTGCCATTGTTGGGGACTGTGTGTGTGAAGCCTGCTCCATCACTGCCATTGATGGGGACTGTGTGTGTGTGAAGCCTGCTCCATCGCTGCCATTGATGGGGACTGTGTGTGTGTGAAGCCTGCTCCATCACTGCCATTGTTGGGGACTGTGTGTGTGAAGCCTGCTCCATCACTGCCATTGATGGGGACTGTGTGTGTGTGAAGCCTGCTCCATCGCTGCCATTGATGGGGACTGTGTGTGTGTGAAGCCTGCTCCATCGCTGCCATTGTGGGGACTGTGTGTGTGTGAAGCCTGCTCCATCACTGCCATTGTTGGGGACTGTGTGTGTGAAGCCTGCTCCATCACTGCCATTGTTGGGGACTGTGTGTGTGAAGCCTGCTCCATCACTGCCATTGATGGGGACTGTGTGTGTGAAGCCTGCTCCATCACTGCCATTGTTGGGGACTGTGTGTGTGAAGCCTGCTCCATCGCTGCCATTGTTGGGGACTGTGTGTGTGTGAAGCCTGCTCCATCGCTGTCATTGATGGGGACTGTGTGTGTGATGCCTGCTCCATCGCTGCCATTGATGGGGACTGTGTGTGTGTGATGCCTGCTCCATCGCTGCCATTGTTGGGGACTGTGTGTGTGAAGCCTGCTCCATCACTGCCATTGTTGGGGACTGTGTGTGTGAAGCCTGCTCCATCGCTGCCATTGATGGGGACTGTGTGTGTGTGATGCCTGCTCCATCACTGCCATTGTTGGGGACTGTGTGTGTGAAGCCTGCTCCATCACTGCCATTGTTGGGGACTGTGTGTGTGTGAAGCCTGCTCCATCGCTGCCATTGATGGGGACTGTGTGTGTGAAGCCTGCTCCATCACTGCCATTGTTGGGGACTGTGTGTGTGAAGCCTGCTCCATCACTGCCATTGTTGGGGACTGTGTGTGTGAAGCCTGCTCCATCACTGCCATTGATGGGGACTGTGTGTGTGAAGCCTGCTCCATCACTGCCATTGTTGGGGACTGTGTGTGTGAAGCCTGCTCCATCGCTGCCATTGTTGGGGACTGTGTGTGTGTGAAGCCTGCTCCATCACTGCCATTGATGGGGACTGTGTGTGTGTGAAGCCTGCTCCATCGCTGCCATTGATGGGGACTGTGTGTGTGTGAAGCCTGCTCCATCACTGCCATTGTTGGGGACTGTGTGTGTGAAGCCTGCTCCATCACTGCCATTGATGGGGACTGTGTGTGTGTGAAGCCTGCTCCATCGCTGCCATTGATGGGGACTGTGTGTGTGTGAAGCCTGCTCCATCACTGCCATTGTTGGGGACTGTGTGTGTGAAGCCTGCTCCATCACTGCCATTGATGGGGACTGTGTGTGTGTGAAGCCTGCTCCATCGCTGCCATTGATGGGGACTGTGTGTGTGTGAAGCCTGCTCCATCGCTGCCATTGTTGGGGACTGTGTGTGTGTGAAGCCTGCTCCATCACTGCCATTGTTGGGGACTGTGTGTGTGAAGCCTGCTCCATCACTGCCATTGTTGGGGACTGTGTGTGTGAAGCCTGCTCCATCACTGCCATTGATGGGGACTGTGTGTGTGAAGCCTGCTCCATCACTGCCATTGTTGGGGACTGTGTGTGTGAAGCCTGCTCCATCGCTGCCATTGTTGGGGACTGTGTGTGTGAAGCCTGCTCCATCGCTGCCATTGATGGGGACTGTGTGTGTGATGCCTGCTCCATCGCTGCCATTGATGGGGACTGTGTGTGTGTGATGCCTGCTCCATCGCTGCCATTGTGGACTGGTGTGAAGCCTGCTCATCCTGCATTGTGGACTGTGTGTGAAGCCTGCTCCATCGCTGCCATTGTTGGGGACTGTGTGTGTGAAGCCTGCTCCATCCTGCCATTGTGGGACTGTGTGTGTGAAGCCTGCTCCATCGCTGCCATTGATGGGGACTGTGTGTGTGAAGCCTGCTCCATCACTGCCATTGTTGGGGACTGTGTGTGTGAAGCCTGCTCCATCGCTGCCATTGTTGGGGACTGTGTGTGTGAAGCCTGCTCCATCGCTGCCATTGATGGGGACTGTGTGTGTGAAGCCTGCTCCATCCTGCCATTGGGGACTGTGTGTGTGAAGCCTGCTCCATCACTGCCATTGATGTGGACTGTGTGTGTGAAGCCTGCTCCATCACTGCCATTGTTGGGGACTGTGTGTGTGAAGCCTCCTCCGTCACTTCCTTTCTCCTATTTCCCTTCCTGCCCTTTTCACTCTTTTTAAAATAATGACAAGACAGTGCAACAAATATGCAGAAAGGGAGAAGAGAAAACGGAGGAAAATATTTGTGGAAGTCAGAATAAATATGGAAGTGACTTTGGGGAGTGTCACCGCCTGTTTCTTCTTCCCTGCAGAAGTGTGGCCTCTCTCCCCCACCCCCGCTCAAGACCGTCTGTTTCCTAATTATCAACAGGTGGGCTTACAGCTATATTCAGAAAACACCACCTCTTACAACTGCAGTCTTCTCCCAAGAATGCTAAAACCTATTGTGTTTTCCCTGGGAAGAAAAAAAAATGTCTATTTCTCGCAGACTGTGCTAAACCTGCCCTGGTGAATTCAGTTGATGTACCCACTGCGGACCAGGAGCAGGATGCAGTGTAGACGGCAGAGTGCTGCAGGATCTCTCGTAGCTTTCACGGAAAGAGAAGCCTCAGAAGGACAGGCCCGCGCCGCTGCCCAAAGCAGCTCTGAGCACACTTGGGCAGGGTGACACCTAGTCATCCCAGGTCTTCATGAAGACCCTCAAGCTGAAACCTCAGACCTCTCGCACATGTGCCCCCTTCTAAGCAACCAGGAAGAGTCCTGGCTATTTTATATTAATATTTCATTATTTTTTTCTTAATGGGGACTAGATTGTATAAGCTTCAGCCCTCCCCAGAAACTTTGATTCACCTCTAGTTGTGAGATTCAAGGAATAATGGAATAAACATAAGTTGGGGTTTAGGCAAGAACTCGAGACCTGCCCTTCATAAATTTCCTCACTCAGCCGTGAGTCCAGTTCACAGTTTTGTCCTCCAATACACCTGAGTGGGCCATAGTGCAGTTCAATACCAGGAAAAGTTATAGAGAAAATGACTACTATTTAAACACATTTTTAAATTTCTATACTACGGCGTCTATAAACCACATATCTCATAAGTTACGGAGAAGTAACAGGGTCCTGGTGCCAGACAAGACCGTGACATCGTGCTCTCACCATCCTCCTTCCTACGCAGGAGACAAGGGGCTGAATGGGCTCCTTGACTTAACTGATGCCTCGATATCCCTAAAAGGTATCCTTTATCCCTCATCCTGCGATTACGGAATGAAAGCATACGTCAACGAGCAGCATGGAATTACTTTCATCCCTAACACCAAGTGGCCAAAGACAAACCAGTCTGAAAATGGATGAAGGCACCAACGGGAAGCAGTGAGCTCTGGTCATAGCTTTACAGGTTTTCACAAGCTAAGGTACAAAACTGTTGTACTATATTCTCTCTCTCTCTCTCTCTCCCTCCCTACCTATCATTTCTTCATTTTATTCTGAAGAAAATAGAAAAAGAGCCCATGAGGCAGGGCTCAAGGCCTCAATTCTGTGCTTCGTTTCAGTAACTTGCCCAGTCTGGGGAAGCCAAGCAGTGCAGACACGGGGCAGGGATGCAGAAGTGGCATGCACCCCCATCGTCAGCCCCCAGAAGGAGCCATGCTCAGGAACGGGAACCCTTGACACAGAGCACCTAACTGTAGAGAGCCCCATGAGAAGGTGTTTCCATACACTGAGAACTGTGTTGCTTCTCGTGTTTCTAAATGACAGCAGCCATGCCTGCTGGGTGATAGGTGTGAACGGCTCACCATGCCTGCTGGGTGATAGGTGTGAACGGCTCACCATACCTGCTGGGTGATAGGTGTGAACGGCTCGCCATGCCTGCTGGGTGATAGGTGTGAACGGCTCGCCATGCCTGCTGGGTGATAGGTGTGAACGGCTCGCCATGCCTGCTGGGTGATAGGTGTGAACGGCTTGCCATGCCTGCTGGGTGATAGGTGTGAATGGCCCGCCATGCCTGCTGGGTGATAGGTGTGAGTGGCTTCCCATGCCTGCTGGGTGATAGGTATGAATGGCTCGCCATGCCTGCTGGGTGACAGGTGTGAATGGCTCACTCACGCTTGTACCAGAGCTAACAGCTCTGTTCCTGTGAACACCTGTGTGGTCTCAGGCATTTGGCTGAGATCGTCGCATTGTTTCACTTCATCCCACAACAGCCAGTCAATACACACGGTCCATTCCAAATGAGGAAACTGAGGTTTGGAGAGGTTAGGAAGCCATTTGGCAGCAGTGAGCAGTAGAATTAGAACTCAGATCCACCCGGCACCAGAAACCTGTGCTCTTAACCCCATGCATCTCCACAGCAGAAAATCATTCCACATAGGTGAGACAGTAAGGGAGTAGGAGGACACACAAGTATTTAATTCACAAATGATCAGAATGTTCTAATACTGTGCCCTGAATGCCACCATCTGTCCAAATGCAGCCTGGTTTCCCTAATTGCAGGAAGGCTGAGGCAGTGTCTCTGCGGAGACAGTGCAGACTCTGCATCCGGGCGGGGTGCATTTTCAATGGTCACGCTCCTGCAGGTGCCTTTCCTGGATGCCAAGGCCCACACACTCCCTCCACCGGCATTCCCTTGGACTTTCCAAACCAGGGTGTGTTTGGTTGTTGCTTGTCACAACTCTGCCCTACAGCCCTGCACAGTGGCTGGGCCCCCACCTTCGTCACCCCCCGCCCCAGTCTGGCTGCGGCCTGCTTTTGCTGCAACACTTTCATTGTGGACTCTACTTTGTCCACATCTGACTTTTTTCTTATTGCTGCTTTTTTAATTAAGAAGTTAATTCATTATCGTAATGTAAAATACAAAACCAGAGAGAGGATTTAAAAAAAATTGTAATCTGATTATTACACACACACACACACACACACACACCATAAATATTATTTAGCTCTTTCTTCCATTATTTTTCTATGAATGTGTGTTTTACGTAATTCTGAGAACATGCATTACATAAAATGTAGTATCCTGCTTTTCACTTAACATTTTATCACCAGCATGTTCCATGTAGTTAAAAAAAAATGCTTCACAAGCATTATTTTTGGACGGCTTTGTAATAGTCCATAAATCAGATATACTATGACTTAACCATTCCATCATGAACAAGTATTTACCAGCTTGTCTCTATTACGTCTTACAGGGTGGTAATGAACATCTTCCTGCATAATATTTTTTTTTCATTTTGCATTATTTCTTTGGAACTAAATTACAGAGTGGTAATGAACAGCTTCCTGCATAAGATTTTTTTTTTCATTTTGCATTATTTCTTTGGAACTAAATTATAGAAGCGGAGAAAGTAGGTTAAAGGGTGCTGACATTCTTCAGAGTGTTGATAAATATTGCCAAATTGCTTAGGAATAACAAAGGGCTATTTTTCAGTTCCTCAAACCTGACAGCTTTTAGTATAATCTTTGAAGATATTTGCCCATTTGATTAAGAAAAAAAAAATCCCTGCCCTATTACCTCCTGCTTAGTCCCTTAGATTCAGTCCTCCTGCTAGAAAGCTATGAACCCACTCTGCCCCAGTAATCTTCAACACAGTTCTCACCTCCCTGGATGGAGTGTGATTGCCTGAGGAATTGTTTTACATTCCTATTGCCTTCCCTCCCCACCAAGTAATTCAGATCTAAGTTCTCAGTCCTGCTGGCTCTAACCTACATTGCTGCCTAACAAGCTTTCAATGTGTCCTTCTAGCTTTCACCCTAAATACGTGGAAGATAAAACATCATATACATATTAAAGTGTCAAATCCATATTTTCTGTTTCTTTGTCCCCAAAACCACTTTATGAAGTACAATAATCGGGGAAACATCTGAATAGACTCAACAACAACTGTAATTATGATTTATTCAGAGTTTACTATGTGCCAAACACATTATATTAAGAACTATGCCATATTTTATTTAATCCTTTCCAGAACACAATGACATAAGTATTACAGGACCACAAATTCTTATCTGAAATCCCCAGACCCAGTTGTTTTTCAGAATTCATAACCTCCAGATTTTAGAACTTGTTTTTCAGAATTTATAAATTCCAGATTTTAGAACAGTCTACTGTGTAGTTTTGTAAAATACCATATATTATATTATATGCCAAGGGAACTCAGGCAGGAGACTATCATTGAACATTAATATTTCCACAGTAAAGTGTATGAATATCAAATGGAATAGGGATTATAAATAGCTTCACATCAGTTGAGGTCAGGGTTTGTTAGAAAATGCTACCAGATGAAAGACAATGAGAGAATATTTGTATTTCTATTCTGTCTGTCACGGAGGTAATCACCTAACTCATATAAAACCAGTGTCTAGTTATTAACTAATAATTTGAGAAGGGATCTATAACACAGTTTTGTTTTTGACCACTGGAATTCTTACCTAAATTGACAAACTGGCCACAATTCAAAGTAGTGTTAGTGCACAAGGTGGGTTTAAGCATAAATATCTATGAATTTACATCAAGCTAGTGTAACACATGCCTTGATCAACTTCTGCCCGAAAAGTCTAGGATCAAGGAAAGGTAAATAATATATTAAACAGCCACTTTATACTCTTCCTAACATATTTTTTCACAGGCAATAATGAATATAATGATGAATGAAGTGGACAAATACTAGCTTGAATATTGTTTGACCATATGTAGAGCAGTGACCTAGAATCAGAGAGATTTTTAAAAGAATGAAAAATATTACTAATCGAAAATAGAAACTTTAAAAGAAAGGCTAAGCAGCCAACTAGATACAGCTGAAGAGAGAATTATATGATTGGAAGATACACTTCAATTCCCAATAACTTATGCAGAATGGAGAAAACAGAAAAAAAGCAGAAAATATAAAATACAGTTTAAGAGATGTAGAATAATATGAGAAAATATCAGAAAAATGTAAGAAAAATAAAAGTTAAATATATAAATTACTATAATATTAAATATATTTTCTATCAGAATTCTAGGAGGAAAAATAGATTGAGAGACAATATTTGAAAAGATAATGATGGAAGGTTTTATTACTTTTAAAAGACATAAATTTTCATATTAGGGAGACCAATAAATCCCAAGAAGGGAAATTTAAAATCCACTGAATTTAGCTACAACCTAGTAATACTGCCAAATATAAATGATAAAAAAAGATATTTAAAAATGATTATCAAGGAAAAAGTAGATTTCCTAAAATTAAACAATAATTAGAAAGGTAGCTGGCTTCTCAATAGTTATAGGAGAAGCTGGAAGGCAGTGGAATAATATCTTCAAAAAAACAGAAAAAAAGATGTTGACTTGAAATTGTCTATCAGCTAATTGTATTTTTGAAAATGATGATGAACTAAAGACATTTTTAAAACTATGATTGATCTTTATTAAAGGAACTTTTATAGGGCACACACTATGAAGAGAGAAGGGATTCCAGAAAAAAAGGTCTGAGATGCAAGAAGAAATGTTTAGCACACAAAATGGTAAATGTGTGAATAAGTCTAAACAAGCATTAGCCATGGAAATAATAACATATAATTTGTGTGGTTAAAAATAACAAGATAGAACTAAGTTATATATACAACATATAATTTATACTGAAAGAACACTATATTTCCTGCATTATTTGTGAAGAGGGTAAATATTAGCAGTAGACTTTGTTAAGTGGCCATAGCTTCTTAATATTTCTAGGATAATCAATAACATCATAGAAATAGAATATATTACTTCCAAATTGAATTGCAAAATAAGATAGGGAGGAAAAAAGTCTCAATCAATTTAAAAGAAGGTAAGAACAGAAGGGGAAGAAAACCTGGAAAATGCAGGACAAATAGAATGCATGAAATAAAATAGTAGAAAGGAGTCCAAATACACCAGTACTCATGATAAATATAAATGAATAAACTTCCTAATTTAAATATTATGGTTATTAGTCTGGATTTTAAAAGTTCCAGCTGTATGCCATTTAGAAGAGCTCTATCTAAAACAGAAAGGCATAGACAGGTAAAATGCAAAAAGATGGAAAATACATTTCAAACAAATAACTTAAAAAGCTGGTACAGATGATAGATATATTAGTATCAGTTGGAAGAAAAAAAAAAAAAATACAAAAGGCCCTACTAAAGATTTGTTTTAAAAGAGATTACTATATATTGACAGAAGGCTCAATTCACTAGGAAAGTGTAATAATTCTAAACATTTTTATTCTTATTAACATAGCTTCAACATATATAAAACAAAAATAGATAAAATTATAAAAATATTGGTAAATCTAGTATCATATGGTAGATTTTAAAAACACCTCTGTAAATATTTGAAAGACCAAGCAGACAAAAATCAGTCAGGATATAAAATATTTGAATACTACTATTAAAGAGGTTGATGTAGTAGAAATATATAGAAGTAGAGAATAAAATGTGATTTTTTTCCACTCAAGGAATATTTACAAATACTGACCGTATACTAGAATATAAGGCCAATTGCAACATGTCTTAGCAAATTACTATAACAGACACATAGTTTCTAACTGCACCCAAATTTTTTAGATTCTAAGATCCAATTTTCTTTTTCTATTTTTAGTGTCTTTAAGTTGTGATATGTCTTAAAATCAGTGACTTCTTATACTTGCTGTTGCCATTTTTTATCCACATTTTAGGATTTCTGAAATCAGAATACTTTTTAGAATCGGTAGCACTCTAAACTCAATATAATGTATGAAGCTCAAAATTAACAAAATAATTTTAAAACAAATCTGTATATTTGTGAAGTACAAAATACATTTCCAAAAATCTCAGAAGTCAAAACAGCATTTATAGTGAAAACTGGTAAATACTTAGGGCTGAGCAAGAAAATTACTAGGTATGAAGAATTACAGGATGCAGCCAAAGTCATAATACAAGGCAAATTTATAGTCTTAAATTATTATATTAGAAAAGAAAAAATCTAGAAGTTAATGAACTACAAGATTAAGAGAATAGACCCAACAAAGTAAAAAAGAGAAAATTAGAACAAAATATTATGTAGTTGAAAACAAAGAAATGGGAGAAAGAATCAACAAAGCCAAAATTTGGTTCTTTGACAAAGACTAATAAAATTAATAAATATCTGGCATATAACCGAGGTTAAAAAGGATAAAAGTCAAATATACATTACACACATTAAAAAGCTGGCAATAATGAACATACAACAAAAATTTTTAAAATATCCTAGGGTTATCAGAAACAAATTTAAGCCAACCAATGTGAAAAAATATGAAAATGACAAATTCCTACATAGCACAAGTTATCTAAACTAATGCAAAAAGAACCAAATGGTCCTATAATCATTAAATACTTTGAATCAATATTTAAAATCTACCTTCAGAGAAAATAACAGATGATTTTACAGTTGAGTTTTACCAAGCATTGTACAATTTCACCACAACACTGTTCCAGAGACGATAGAGTAAATATTTCTCAAATTCATGTATTATATTGTTATCAAAATCAAGAATAATTTAAGATGACAAGCCAGTCTCATACATGAACAAAAGCACTCATAAACACAAATGCAAAAATACTCACAACATTTGAAGCAAATGGAATCTAGGTCCAAATTGAGTTTATTATAGGACTTTAATGTTTCCCTTGCATTAAAAATGACATTATTATATTAACAGCCCCAAATAGAAAAAAAATATGCCAGATGTTGAGACTTTTTATATAGTTCTGGTAATCCAGATGGCATGGTATTGGCACTCGACTGACAAACAAATGTAACAGAATATAGAATTTAGAAACAGACCCACACATATATAGAAACTTAATTTCTAACAGAGCTGGCACTGCGGGTGACTGAAGAAAGAAAGGGACAACTAGTAGCCTAATGAAGCCAAGAATTGGGCCTCCCTACCTCACACCATTACACCAGATACAAAACAATGCACTAGTAGTTTATATGTGAAATGATTTTTTTTAATTTAGAAGAAAATATAGGATACCAACTTTGTATATTTTAGGTAAAGAAAGTTTATTTTTTAAATAAAGACATGAAAACTACAAAACAGCAGAAAAGGTGGATAATTCAACTGCATTAATACTTAGAACTTCTGTTCACCACAAAGATACTGCCACACATAACCATCAAAGAAATAATATCCAGACTCTAGGAAGAACTCTGAAGCAATCAATCAGAAGAAGACCATCAATGTCTTAGAAAAATGAATAAAAGATCAGAGCCGACACTGAACAGGAAGAAAAATATGAGGTACCAGTGAATATAGGACACATTGTCTCCTGTACTAACCTGGTAAATGCAAAGCTAAGCCACAGTGAAATCCCATTCATACTTACTGGATGAATTAAAATATAAAGTCTGATGATATTCAATATTCACAGAGGCAGAGCAGCTGCATCTCTTTTACACCATCAGAGCAGGAGGAAATTTGACACACCATTTGTCATCACCTACCAGTGTTGCACAGGCTCATGCTGAGGAACTGGCCACACCACTCTGAAGGAACCACCACACATGTGCAATAACACAAGCACAAGAAAGTCCTGAAAGCCCTGTTTATGATCAGGAAACCAAAACCAACAGCACTGCACGAAACCCACATATCTATGGCCTCCAAAGGGATGAAAGAACAGTGTTAAATAGCAGTGAAGGAATGACTCTCAAAAATACAATGTTGACTGAACAAAATGGGGCACAGAATTATAAAGAATAATTATATATATAGTTGAAGTCAGTCATATTGAGGTCAGCAAACAATCAATGCTATTTAGTGTGTTGTTAAGAATGCATCATCTGCTGAAACTCTAAAGACAAGCGGGCGGCTGCACACACGGGATAGCAGTGGCTCCCTCTGCAGGAGGGGAGGAGCTATATAATGTGGGAGACTGGGGGAGCTGTGTAGACACTGTGACATTCTGTGATTTCAAGCTGAGTGGTGAATCAATAATTTCTAGTTTTATTTTTTTAATTTGTGTATTTATTTTATGGTATTTTTTATGATCTATTTTGTAATGATATTTTAATAAGATTAAGTTTAGCAATTTAAAAAGCAGAAAATAAAAGCAAAAGTATCAAAATCCCAAAATGATGATGACAAAAATTACAACCTTAACAATGCATAACAATTTTTAAGCGCTCACCATGGACAGATGCATGATGTTCCTTATGATAGCATCTCCATGATACAAGTGCTGTTCATGTGTCCATCTTACAGATGCACGCAGCCAGACCCCGGTGAGGAGACAGCTTCCCCAGCTTCCAGTTTGAACTGTCTGATTCCAAACCCTTGCCATCAACCCATGTGGGGTAAAATCCTTTAAAAAGAAGTAAGTGTTGAAAAGAAGATATAGTTGATGAGATTTAAATAAAAGTTAAATCTGAAAACCACTGAGGTAAAAAGCTCCAAAGGTGAAGGAGAGGGAAGATTAAGATAAAAGTCTAAAACCCACTAGTTGTAAAATGAAAAAGAATAAGAACAAGTGAGATTAGGATTTAGGAACAGAAAATAAATGCTAAACCAACAAAAAAAAAATTAGAAAGACAGGTAAGATTGATGAAGATATTTTTGAAAGGAAGAAGGCAGACTTTGAACACTAGAGCAGATGAGGACAGAGGCTGCTTCTGGGAGCTCTGCCCATGCACATTACCTCGAAGGGCTGCGCAGCCCCTGGCAGCAGAGGCAGGGAGCCCGGGCAGGACCTGCCCTGGTCAGGTTCCTTTTTCACCTCCGCTTCTCCCTCTGACTCACCAGCAAGTTCCAAGCACCTGCTGTCTGCAAGGTGGGGAGCCCGCTGCAGGTACAAGAGAGGCTGGGTGTTCTCAAAGGACTTCCCAACCAGGGGCTACTTAGAAGAAATGGGATTGGGGTGGTTGTAGGGAGAAGCACCTTGAAACTGAGGAAACTGTGTGCACCGAAGTTTACTGCAATGAAAACAAGAGAAGAAAGAAAGACAGAGGAGAAGATGTATCACCATCCCATGGCCTATATTCGCCTTCTTTCAGGAAGGAACCAAAAAGCCAGCAAGTCCCATCACACACCTCTCACATTTAAGAAGAGAGACAGCGAGCGTAGGAAGAGGTACCCTTTGTTTGTGGAAGATGGAAGGCAGTGAGAAGCAGCTTGTGAGAATCGTAAATAGAAATAATATGCACGTCCTCCCATCAATCATAACGGAGGTGTCTAATTGATGCATCTTTATTATAGGCTTTTCCAAGTACAAGATAGCATCAGTTAATTCCGTTTTTTTAAGCAAGTTTTTTTTCTATACTAATTCCTTTGTTTTACAAATCAGTTTTGTACTTCTCCACTCCTTGCACCTGGAAATTTGCTCTTTCTGAGGGTAGAATAGATATGAGAAGAGTTTGTTTATAAGTTGAGGCTGGGAGTGAAGGAAAGAAAAAGTTTCTCACATATTTCCAAAGACACTTTTTTTTCCTACTATGTAACACACCTTTCTCCTACCTTGTCATGATTTATACAATTCACTTTGAACTCACATATGTTTGAATCACTTTTCACTTTTACCTACAAAGCCCCTATGAGAGAGACCTGGGAATTTGATTGTAGAGAACTCCTAAGATTTACTAAGACAAGCAGAAAAGTTCCATTGACGGTTACCTCAAATAAAATTCACAGTTTAAGAGCTGTAATCTTCCTGTTGTTTACCAAATATGCAGAAACCCCTGTGCTGATATAAGAAGACCCGTAAAAATATTGCATTGTTTAGTTAGGATCTCTGAAAAATATTGATTTGGACAAAATACTCATTGTGCCATTGAGCAGCACGAGTGCATCAGGTGACAGGCCAGCAGCGGGGACACTTTGCCATGGCTTATGACGTCAGCTTGCTGGTTCAGGAAAAATGGGTGATCTAGAAAGATCTGACAGGCTGCATAATCTACTTTTCCTGTCAAGAGAGCAAAAGCTAATGGGATTTTTCTCCTTCAAACTTGTGGGTTGTGAATGTCAAATCAGATATTTCAGTTTCATCATTTTTAAAGCAAATAAGATTCTCTAATTTTATTTACGTATGTATGTATTTTGAGACAGGGTCTTGCTCTGTCACCCAGGCTGGAGTGCAGTGGTGCAATCAGAGCTCACTGCAGCCTTGGACCCCAGGACCCAAGTGATCCTCCCACCTCAGCCTCCTGAGTGGCTGGGACTGCTGGCTTGAGCCACCGTGCCCAGCCCTGATTCTCACTCTTAGATTGACACCATTCAACCAGATCACCTAGAGCAAGTAAGCATCACTTAAATCCTAGGTAGCTTAAACTCCACCCAGTTATGAAAACTAATTCCCCATGGAAGGTAGACCACAGATATTTAAATCATCGTGGGTCAAATAAGGCAACCTGGGGAGACGCCTGGCTCTGCATGGAGGCTGATGGCAGAAACCTCCATCCAGGATGGAGACATCGCCTTGCAGGGTGGGGCTGCACAAACCTGCCTCGCATCCCAAGGTGTTCCCATCTTCTCAGAACAACACACCAGATGTGCCTGCCCCTGACACAGACACACATAAACAGACACACATGGACACACACAAACACACACACAGACACACATGGACACACAGAAACAGACAGACACAAACACACAGACACACATACAGAAACAGACACACAAACACACAGACACACACACAGAAACAGACACACAAACAGACACACACACAGAAACAGACACACAAACACACAGACACACACACAGAAACAGAGAGACACACAAACACACAGACACACACACAGAAACAGACACACAAACACACAGACACAAACACAGACACACACACGAACACAGACACACATGGACACACACATACAGAAACAGACACAGACACACATGGAGACACACACACACAGAAACAGACGCAGACAGACACACAGAGACACACACACACAGAAACATACACAGACAGACAGACATGGACACACACACAAACACAGATACAGACACACACAGACACACATGGACATATACACAGAAACAGACATAGACACAGACACACAGATACACACAGAAACATAGACTCGGACACACAGAAACAGACACGGAAACACACACGGACACATACACAGACACACATGGACACACACACACACAGACACACAGACACCCATGGAGACACACACAGACACAAAGGGACACACACACAGAAACAGACACACACGCAGAAACATACACAGACAGACATGGACACACACACAAACACAGATACAGACACACACAGACACACATGGACATATACACAGAAACAGACATAGACACAGACACACAGATACACACAGAAACATAGACTCGGACACACAGAAACAGACACGGAAACACACACGGACACATACACAGACACACATGGACATACACACACAGACACACAGACACCCATGGAGACACACACAGACACAAAGGGACACACACACAGAAACAGACACACACGCAGAAACATACACAGACAGACAGACATGGACATACACACACAAACACAGACACAGATAGACACACACAGACACACACACAGAAATCACAGAAATAGACACAGACACAGATAGACGCACACAGACACACACACAGAAACAGACACAGACAGAAACATACACAGACAGACAGACACGGACAGACATGGACACACACAAACAGACACAGACACACATAGACACACATAGACTCATACACATCCAGAAACACAGACACACACGGAGACACACACAGACACACAGGGACTCACACAGAAACAGACACACAGACTGACACACACAGACACACAAAGAGATGTACACACTGACACACATGGACACAGACACACAGAGATACACAGAAACACATAGACACACACGTACACACACAGAGACACACACAGACACACACACGTAGTGGCTACATAGAATTTGGAGATCCATTCCACTGGACGATTTTGAGACTTGTGGATGGAAACAAACCCTTCTATTTATTAGCCGTGTGGCCTTGTGCAATTGAAACCCTTTTCCACGTCAAAGTGTCCACCTGTATGAGGAAGATAATCACGGCTGCATCACTCAGCTGTGTGAAGGTTTAATGAGATATTTGAGAAGAGCCCAGCTCAGTACCTGATACTTAGTAAGAAATTAATAGATGGGGTTCATTTCTATAAATCATTCCTATTCAAATGCCTCCTATGATACATGTCTATTAAATTTCTTTTTAATACATCATACAACTTATATAATGAGTATAGTATAATAAAATCAATCATAAGTCGCTGTCATTTTGTTACTATTTTGGCTGGAGAGAGGGTGACTGCGTGGCCCAGGTTTGAGGAGGCAGGACCAGGTTCTATAGCGTATAAGCCACTGAGGGCCTCCGACTTTATCCCAAGGGCAGGGAGAAGACACTGGATGCTTCTGCACAGAAGAGTGATAAGTTCACGTTTTCGGGTGGTCACTCTGGTGGTGGGGGGAGGAGAGATGGGCAGAGATCAGTTAGGAAATGCACAGGGGCCAGGGGAGGGTGGCAGTGCCCGGAGCAGCTGGGGTGAGGGCTCCGAGAAGTAGCAGCCGGGGGCTCCTTAGGAGTAGATTTGAGGCTGACTGGACATGTTTAGTGAAAGAAAGCATTTTCTGACTTGGACGTCTGGGCAGCTGGCGATTCTCCTCACTCAGGAGCACAGGAGGGTGACAGGCTCAGCGCTCATGCCTTTAACCTGCCCTCCCGGAGGAGCCCACACTCAAGTCCTGTCTCCGGTCAGCTTCTAGGGAATCCTAAGTGAAGACAAGGGCTGCAGAGTCACTAAAGCAGAGACCACAGCCTTCAGCCTCAGCGCTGTGGGATCCTAGCACCAGACGGGATGCATCCCTTAGGGGCTGCCGGTGACTCCCCAACACAAAGCACCCAACAGAGAGCCAGAGGCCTTGCAGGGGTCAAGAATAGAGGGGTTGCCCAGTTGGCCAAGGGTCAACGTTGGACTCAAGCCACTAAGATGCTCCAGCTGCACACCAGTGGGCAAGCCTCAGACCTGCCAGGGAGAGGGCAGCATCTTCAGGGAGGATGGGTCACACCCAGGCGGCGGCTCTGATAACCAGGCTCCTCCTCTGCAGCAGGCAGAGGACATCAGTGACTGCCAGCAGAGCTCGCTCGCTAATAGGCACAGAGCCTTGCTACTCAAAGTGTGGGCCACGAACTAGCAGCTCAACATCTCCCAGGAGCTTGCTGGAAACACAGAATGTCACGCCCCTCCAAGCCCCTTGAATCAGAATCTGCATTCTACCCAGGTGCCTGGGGACTTGCACACACACTCAGGCTTGAGCGGCAGTGACCTACGGAATATTGACTCCAGATTACAGCTAAATATGGACAACTTATCATCAGAGGCTCTCTACTAACTCCAGATCATAGCTGTACAAAAGTCTAGATGCATGTGTACATGTTGTGTTATGTGTGCACATGTGTGCATGCGTGTGACATGTTCATTCAAAATGTTTGCATTTATTTGCATGCTGAGCACACCCAGGCCACTGCACTAGCACTGGGCGACTCAGCCATGGCTCTCGCCCCCGCACCAGTGCAGCTTTGTGCAACCTTTCTTATACAGATGCGCGTGTGTAACTGACGAGAGCCAGAGCTTCTGTGATTATAGGGCATCTCCCACCCTCAATCCTCGTACCCGATGAATGTTAAGCAATAAGGAAACAGCCAAACACCACAGAGAAAACCGTATTTTAAACAAGAAACAGACATCTTGGCAGTCCCACTTTGCCTGTCTGCTTAGAAAGCCAAGGCCAGGAGGCAAGCGATGGCCAGTGAGTCTGTTTCCCAAACCCTTGCCCTGCTCTCCCACCTGGGCTGCGCTCGGCGCTGTCCCCATTCGGAACTTCCCACCGCCCCACACTCACCCAGTCTCTCCCAAAAGGCCAGTTCAAATCCCACATCCTCTAAGAAACTTCCCCAGTTGGTCAAATAGCTACATTTGGAAGCCAAAATTCAAGGTACGAGCTAACAAATTTAACTAGGTTGATATGTTTATACACAAGATCCCTCAAACAGAAACACCATTCCCGTTTTAAATTGAGACCCGATGGCCTGGTTAATACAGTCCTGCCTGACACTTAATTGTCTTCGGTGACTCCAAACATTTTCGCTGCACTTTTTGCAGTGGAAACCCACGCCCCTGGGTCTCTCACTTTTCAGGACCTCTGCTTTCTTCAGGGTCAGTGGCAATTGAAAATTAAAAGTTTAAAGGAACAGAACAATCAGAAAGATCCTTTTCAAAATGCTTGCCAGAACCTCAAACTAGGCAAGCAGCACCCTCATCTCTAGGGAGGAAGGCTCCTCAAAAATGGATCGCCAAGGAGGCCTGGAGGAGCTGCAGCTGGAAACGCGGGGCAGGAAGTGCCACCGGGGAAGAGCCAGGTTTGGGTAATGAGGACGAAGGGGCTGACCATGAGATGCTCTGTTACCACTGGAGTTAGAACAGCGGCAGCCCTGGAGGTGCCACCTTCACCCCTCCCACGTCCTCCTCATGCTGTCATGGAGGCTGTGCAGGTACAGCCAGTGATGGCTGGGATGGGGACACCCGAGGTGCAGTGGGAAAGAGAGACAGTGCTAGAACCTCCTAGCCAGCTTCCTTAAGACAGGGCACAGACTCGTTAGTGTATCTTGAGTTCCTAGTGTCCCCTGGTGGACAGGTGTGGGCAGCATACACCAATGATCTTAAAGAGTTTAACTAAAAAAAACTCCAAAACAGGTCAACTTGACATTTCCTGACTCCTTCAGGGTTCGGTCATGAGGTGGCCAAGCAGCCCCATTAAGCTGTTGTTATGTGCTGGGCTGATTCCAGCTAGACCAACTGCTGTGACATGTCCAAGCCACGCCTCCGTGGCTTGGACAATGGTGATTCACGCAAGGTATACGGTGATTCATTCTCCACCCTGTCAAAGTGGACCTTCGGCCATTGCTGGGGTCACTGTGCCTCAGGTAGAGGGAGCATGCAGACATTTAGAGGCACGGGGTGTAGTTTAATATCAATGTCTGCAGACATCGATGTCTGGGTGGGCCTGCTGGGAGCTGGGTAATAAATGGAGTCCCACCCCATCTGGCCCCACAGACCTGGATGATGGCTGTCTTCTCAGTTCCTAGCTGTACACCTGGAGTGGAAATGTTCTGTGAGATTGGAATGGCCCATGGGGTAAGAGCCCTCAGCATGAAGAGATTCAGATAGAAGCCTCAAAGTTGTCCCCTTGCCAAATGGATGAGCAAGCCACAGAT